>NC_000017.11:25920035-26081684 GCF_000001405.40 Homo sapiens
AGCATTCTCAGAACCTTCTTCGTGATGTCTGCATTCAACTCACAGTGTGGAACCTTTCTTTGATAGTTCAGGTTTGAAACACTCTTTTTCTAGAAACTGCAAGGGGATAACTGCACTTCTTTGAGGCCTACCGTAGTAAAGGAAATAACTTCCTATAAAAAGAAGACAGAAGCTTTCTCAGAAAATTCTTTGGGATGATTGAGTTGAACTCACAGAGCTGAACATTCCTTGCGATGGAGCAGTTTAGAAACACACTTTCTGCAGAATCTGCAAGTGCATATTTGGACCTCTCTGAGGAATTCGTTGGAAACGGGATAATTTCAGCCGACTAAACAGAAGCATTCTCAGAACCTTCTTCGTGATGTCTGCATTCAACTCACAGTGTGGAACCTTTCTTTGATAGTTCAGGTTTGAAACACTCTTTTTGTAGAAACTGCAAGGGGATAATTGCACTTCTTTCAGGTCTACCGTAGTAAAGGAAATAACTTCCTATAAAAAGAAGACAGAAGCATTCTCAGAACCTTCTTCGTGATGTTTGCATTCAACTCACAGTGCTGAACCTTTCTTTGATAGTTCAGCTTTGAAACACTCTTTTTGTAGAAACTGCAAGTGGATATTTGGTCCTCTCTGAGGATTTCGTTGGAAACGGGATAAACCGCACAGAACTAAACAGAAGCATTCACAGAAAACTCTTGGTGACGACTGAGTTTAACTCACAGAGCTGAACATTCCTTTGGATGGAGCAGTTTCGAAACACACTCTTTGTAGAATGTGCAAGTGGATATTTGGGCCTCTCTGAGGATTTCGTTGGAAACGGGATAAACCGCACAGAACTAAAACAGAAGCATTCTGAGAAACTACTTTGTGATGATTGCATTCAAGTCACAGAGCTGAACATTCTCTTTGACAGAGCAGTTTGGAAACTCTCTTTGTGTAGAATCTGCAAGTGGAGATATGGAATGCTTTGAGGACTATGGTAGTAAAGGAAATAGCTTCATATAAAAGCTAGACAGTCGCATTCTCAGAAACTTCTTTGTGATGCTTGCATTCAACTCACAGAGTTGAACTTTCCTTTCGAGAGAGAAGCTTTGAAACACTCTTTTTCCAGAATCTGCAAGTGGACATTTGGAGGGCTTTGAGGCCTGTGGTGGAAAAGGAATTATCTTCCCGTAAAAGCTAGATAGAAGCATTGTCAGAAACTTCTTTGTGATGATTGCATTCAAGTCACAGAGTTGAAGGTTCCTTTTCAAAGAGCAGTTTCCAATCACTCTTTCTGTGGAATCTGCAAGTGGATATTTGGACCTCTTTGAAGATTTCGTTGGAAACGGGAGAATCTTCACAGAAAAGCTAAACAGAAGCATTCTCAGAAACTTCTCTGTGATGTTTGTGTTCAACTCCCAGAGTTTCACGTTGCTTTTCATAGAGTAGTTCTGAAACATGCTTTTCGTAGTGTCTGCAAGTGGACATTTGGAGCGCTTTCAGGCCTGTGGTGGAAAACGAATTATGGTCACATAAAAACTGGAGAGAAGCCTTCTCAGAAACTTCTCTGTGATGATTGCATTCAACTCACAGAGTTGAACCCTCCTATGGATAGAGCAGTGTTGAAACTCTCTTTTTGTGGAATCTGCAAGTGGATATGTGGACCTCTCCGAAGATGTCTTTGGAAACGGGAATATCTTCACATAAAAACTAAACAGAAGCATTCTCAGAAACTTCTTGGTGATGTTTGCATTCAAATCCCAGAGTTGAACCTTCCTTTGATAGTTCAGGTTTGAAACACTCTTTTTGTAGGATCTGCAATTGGCTATTTAGACCACTCTGTGGCCTTCGTTCGAAACGGGTATATCTTCGCATAAAATCTAGACAGAAGCATTCTCAGAAAATACTTTGTGATGATTGAGTTGAACTCACAGAGCTGAACATTCCTTTGGATGGAGCAGGTTTGAGACACACTTTTTGTAGAATCTACAAGTGGATATTTGGACCTCTCTGAGGATTTCGTTGGAAACGGGATAACTGCACCTAACTAAACGGAAGCATTCTCAGAAACTGCTTTGTGATGATTGCATTCACCTCACAGGGTTGAACATTCCTATTGATAGAGCAGTTTGGAAACACTCTTGTTGTGGAATGTGCAAGTGGAGATTTGGAGCGCTTTGAGGCTTATGGTAGTAAAGGGAATAGCTTCATAGAAAAACTAGACAGATGCATTCTCAGGAACTTTTTGGTGATGTTTGTATTCAACTCCCAGAGTTGAACTTTCCTTTGGAAAGAGCAGCTATGAAACACTCTTTTTCTAGAATCTGCAAGTGGACGTTTGGAGGGCTTTGTGGTTTGTGGTGGAAAAGGAAATATCTTCACCTAAATACTAGATAGAAGCATTCTCAGAAGCTTCTCTGTGATGACTGCGTTCAACTCACGGAGTTGAACACTCCTTTTGAGAGCGCAGTTTTGAAACTCTGTTTCTGTGGCATCTGCAAGGGGACATGTAGACCTCTTTGAAGATTTCGTTGGAAACGGAATCATCTTCACATCAAAACTATACAGAAGCAGTCTCAGAATCTTCTTTGTGATGTTTGCATTCAAATCCCAGAGTTGAACTTTCCTTTCAAAGTTCACGTTTGAAACACTCTTTTTGCAGGATCTACAAGTGGATATTTGGACCACTCTGTGGCCTTCGTTCGAAACGGGTATATCTTCACATGACATCTAGACAGAAGCTTTCTCAGAAAATTCTTTGGGATGATTGAGTGGAACTCACAGAGCTGAACATTCCTTGCGATGTAGCAGTTTAGAAACACACTTTCTGCAGAATCTGCAAGTGCATATTTGGACCTCTCTGAGGAATTCGTTGGAAACGGGATAATTTCAGCTGACTAAACAGAAGCATTCTCAGAACCTTCTTCGTGATGTCTGCATTCAACTCACAGTGTGGAACCTTTCTTTGATAGTTCAGGTTTGAAACACTCTTTTTGTAGAAACTGCAAGGGGATAATTGCACTTCTTTGAGGCCTACCGTAGTAAAGGAAATAACTTCCTATAGAAAGAAGACAGAAGAATTCTCAGAGCCCTCTTCGTGATGTTTGCATTCAACTCACAGTGCTGAACCTTTCTTTGATAGTGCAGCTTTGAAACACTCTTTTTGTAGAAACTGCAAGTGGATGTTTGGTCCTCTCTGAGGATTTCGTTGGAAACGGGATAAACCGCACAGAACTAAAACAGAAGCATTGTCAGAAACTTCTTTGTGATGATTGCATTCAACTCACAGAGTTGAAGGTTCCTTTTCAAACAGCAGTTTCCAATCACTCTTTCTGTGGAATCTGCAAGTGGATATTTGGGCCTCTCTGAGGATTTCGTTGGAAACGGGATAAAACGCACAGAACTAAAACAGAAGCATTCTCAGAAACTTCTCTGTGATGTTTGTGTTCAACTCCCAGAGTTTCACGTTGCTTTTCATAGAGTAGTTCTGAAACATGCTTTTCGTAGTGTCTGCAAGTGGACATTTGGAGCGCTTTCAGGCCTGTGGTGGAAAACGAATTATGGTCACATAAAAACTGGAGAGAAGCCTTCTCAGAAACTTCTCTGTGATGATTGCATTCAACTCACAGAGTTGAACCCTCCTATGGATAGAGCAGTGTTGAAACTCTCTTTTTGTGGAATCTGCAAGTGGATATGTGGACCTCTCCGAAGATGTCTTTGGAAACGGGAATATCTTCACATAAAAACTAAACAGAAGCATTCTCAGAAACTTCTTCGTGATGTTTGCATTCAAATCCCAGAGTTGAACCTTCCTTTGAGAGTTCAGGTTTGAAACACTCTTTTTGTAGGATCTGCAAGTGGATATTTGGACCACTCTGTGGCCTTCGTTCGAAACGGGTACATCTTCGCATAAAATCTAGACAGAAGCATTCTCAGAAAATACTTTGTGATGATTGAGTTGAACTCACAGAGCTGAACATTCCTTTGGATGGAGCAGGTTTGAGACACACTTTTTGTAGAATCTACAAGTGGATATTTGGACCTCTCTGAGGATTTCGTTGGAAACGCGATAACTGCACCTAACTAAACGGAAGCATTCTCAGAAACTGCTTTGTGATGATTGCATTCACCTCACAGAGTTGAACATTCCTATTGATAGAGCAGTTTGGAAACACTCTTGTTGTGGAATGTGCAAGTGGAGATTTGGAGCGCTTTGAGGCCTATGGTAGTAAAGGGAATAGCTTCATAGAAAAACTAGACAGATGCATTCTCAGGAACTTTTTGGTGATGTTTGTATTCAACTCCCAGAGTTGAACTTTCCTTTGGAAAGAGCAGCTATGAAACACCCTTTTTCTAGAATCTGCAAGTGGACGTTTGGAGGGCTTTGTGGTTTGTGGTGGAAAAGGAAATATCTTCACCTAAATACTAGATAGAAGCATTCTCAGAAGCTTCTCTGTGATGACTGCATTCAACTCACGGAGTTGAACACTCCTTTTGAGAGCGCAGTTTTGAAACTCTCTTTCTGTGGCATCTGCAAGGGGACATGTAGACCTCTTTGAAGATTTCGTTGGAAACGGAATCATCTTCACATAAAAACTATACAGAAGCAGTCTCAGAATCTTCTTTGTGATGTTTGCATTCAAATCCCAGAGTTGAACTTTCCTTTCAAAGTTCACGTTTGAAGCACTCTTTTTGCAGGATCTACAAGTGGATATTTGGACCACTCTGTGTCCTTCGTTCGAAACGGGTATATCTTCACATGACATCTAGACAGAAGCTTTCTCAGAAAATTCTTTGGGATGATTGAGTGGAACTCACAGAGCTGAACATTCCTTGCGATGTAGCAGTTTAGAAACACACTTTCTGCAGAATCTGCAAGTGCATATTTGGACCTCTCTGAGGAATTCGTTGGAAACGGGATAATTTCAGCTGACTAAACAGAAGCATTCTCAGAACCTTCTTCGTGATGTCTGCATTCAACTCACAGTGTGGAACCTTTCTTTGATAGTTCAGGTTTGAAACACTCTTTTTGTAGAAACTGCAAGGGGATAATTGCACTTCTTTGAGGCCTACCGTAGTAAAGGAAATAACTTCCTATAGAAAGAAGACAGAAGCATTCTCGGAACCCTCTTCGTGATGTTTGCATTCAACTCACAGTGCTGAAACTTTCTTTGATAGTTCAGCTTTGAAACACTCTTTTTGTAGAAACTGCAAGTGGATATTTGGTCCTCTCTGAGGATTTCGTTGGAAATGGGATAAACCACACAGAACTAAACAGAAGCATTCTCAGAACCTACTTCGTGATGTTTGCATTCAACTCACAGTGTTGAACCTTTCTTTGATAGTTCAGGTTTGAAACGGTCTTTCTGTAGAAACTGCAAGTAGATATTTGGACCTCTCTGAGGATTTCGTTGGAAACGGGATAAACCGCACAGAACTAAAACAGAAGCATTCACAGAAAACTCTTGGTGACGACTGAGTTTAACTCACAGAGCTGAACATTCCTTTGGATGGAGCAGTTTCGAAACACACTATTTGTAGAATGTGCAAGTGGATATTTAGGCCTCTCTGAGGATTTCGTTGGAAACGGGATAAACCGCACAGAACTAAACAGAAGCATTCTCAGAAACTACTTTGTGATGATTGCATTCAAGTCACAGAGTTGAACATTCCCTTTGACAGAGCAGTTTGGAAACTCTCTTTGTGTAGAATCTGCAAGTGGAGATATGGACCGCTTTGAGGCCTATGGTAGTAAAGGAAATAGCTTCATATAAAAGCTAGACAGTAGCATTCTCAGAAACTTCTTTGTGATGCTTGCATTCAACTCACAGAGTTGAACTTTCCTTTCGAGAGAGAAGCTTTGAAACACTCTTTTTCCAGAATCTGCAAGTGGACATTTGGAGGGCTTTGAGGCCTGTGGTGGAAAAGGAATTATCTTCCCGTAAAAGCTAGATAGAAGCATTGTCAGAAACTTCTTTGTGATGATTGCATTCAACTCACAGAGTTGAAGGTTCCTTTTCAAACAGCAGTTTCCAATCACTCTTTCTGTGGAATCTGCAAGTGGATATTTGGGCCTCTCTGAGGATTTCGTTGGAAACGGGATAAAACGCACAGAACTAAAACAGAAGCATTCTCAGAAACTTCTCTGTGATGTTTGTGTTCAACTCCCAGAGTTTCACGTTGCTTTTCATAGAGTAGTTCTGAAACATGCTTTTCGTAGTGTCTGCAAGTGGACATTTGGAGCGCTTTCAGGCCTGTGGTGGAAAACGAATTATGGTCACATAAAAACTGGAGAGAAGCCTTCTCAGAAACTTCTCTGTGATGATTGCATTCAACTCACAGAGTTGAACCCTCCTATGGATAGAGCAGTGTTGAAACTCTCTTTTTGTGGAATCTGCAAGTGGATATGTGGACCTCTCCGAAGATGTCTTTGGAAACGGGAATATCTTCACATAAAAACTAAACAGAAGCATTCTCAGAAACTTCTTGGTGATGTTTGCATTCAAATCCCAGAGTTGAACCTTCCTTTGATAGTTTAGGTTTGAAACACTCTTTTTGTAGGATCTGCAAGTGGATATTTGGACCACTCTGTGGCCTTCGTTCGAAACGGGTACATCTTCGCATAAAATCTAGACAGAAGCATTCTCAGAAAATACTTTGTGATGATTGAGTTGAACTCACAGAGCTGAACATTCCTTTGGATGGAGCAGGTTTGAGACACACTTTTTGTAGAATCTACAAGTGGATATTTGGACCTCTCTGAGGATTTCGTTGGAAACGGGATAACTGCACCTAACTAAACGGAAGCATTCTCAGAAACTGCTTTGTGATGATTGCATTCACCTCACAGAGTTGAACATTCCTATTGATAGAGCAGTTTGGAAACACTCTTGTTGTGGAATGTGCAAGTGGAGATTTGGAGTGCTTTGAGGCCTATGGTAGTAAAGGGAATAGCTTCATAGAAAAACTAGACAGATGCATTCTCAGGAACCTTTTGGTGATGTTTGTATTCAACTCCCAGAGTTGAACTTTCCTTTGGAAAGAGCAGCTATGAAACACTCTTTTTCTAGAATCTGCAAGTGGACGTTTGGAGGGCTTTGTGGTTTGTGGTGGAAAAGGAAATATCTTCACCTAAATACTAGATAGAAGCATTCTCAGAAGCTTCTCTGTGATGACTGCATTCAACTCACGGAGTTGAACACTCCTTTTGAGAGCGCAGTTTTGAAACTCTCTTTCTGTGGCATCTGCAAGGGGACATGTAGACCTCTTTGAAGATTTCGTTGGAAACGGAATCATCTTCACATAAAAACTATACAGAAGCAGTCTCAGAATCTTCTTTGTGATGTTTGCATTCAAATCCCAGAGTTGAACTTTCTTTTCAAAGTTCACGTTTGAAACACTCTTTTTGCAGGATCTACAAGTGGATATTTGGACCACTCTGTGTCCTTCGTTCGAAACGGGTATATCTTCACACGACATCTAGACAGAAGCTTTCTCAGAAAATTCTTTGGGATGATTGAGTGGAACTCACAGAGCTGAACATTCCTTGCGATGTAGCAGTTTAGAAACACACTTTCTGCAGAATCTGCAAGTGCATATTTGGACCTCTCTGAGGAATTCGTTGGAAACGGGATAATTTCAGCTGACTAAACAGAAGCATTCTCAGAACCTTCTTCGTGATGTCTGCATTCAACTCACAGTGTGGAACCTTTCTTTGATAGTTCAGGTTTGAAACACTCTTTTTGTAGAAACTGCAAGGGGATCATTGCACTCTTTGAGGAGTACCGTAGTAAAGGAAATAACTTCCTATAAAAAGAAGACAGAAGCATTCTCAGAACCCTCTTCGTGATGTTTGCATTCAACTCACAGTGCTGAACCTTTCTTTGATAGTTCAGCTTTGAAACACTCTTCTTGTAGAAACTGCAAGTGGATATTTGGTCCTCTCTGAGGATTTCGTTGGAAACGGGATAAACCGCACAGAACTAAACAGAAGAATTCTCAGAGCCCTCTTCGTGATGTTTGCATTCAACCTCACAGTGCTGAACCTTTCTTTGATAGTGCAGCTTTGAAACACTCTTTTTGTAGAAACTGCAAGTGGATGTTTGGTCCTCTCTGAGGATTTCGTTGGAAACGGGATAAACCGCACAGAACTAAAACAGAAGCATTGTCAGAAACTTCTTTGTGATGATTGCATTCAACTCACCGAGTTGAAGGTTCCTTTTCAAACAGCAGTTTCCAATCACTCTTTCTGTGGAATCTGCAAGTGGATATTTGGACCTATTTTGAAGATTTCGTTGGAAACGGGAGAATCTTCACAGAAAAGCTAAACAGAAGCATTCTCAGAAACTTCTCTGTGATGTTTGTGTTCAACTCCCAGAGTTTCACGTTGCTTTTCATAGAGTAGTTCTGAAACATGCTTTTCGTAGTGTCTGCAAGTGGACATTTGGAGCGCTTTCAGGCCTGTGGTGGAAAACGAATTATGGTCACATAAAAACTGGAGAGAAGCCTTCTCAGAAACTTCTCTGTGATGATTGCATTCAACTCACAGAGTTGAACCCTCCTATGGATAGAGCATTGTTGAAACTCTCTTTTTGTGGAATCTGCAAGTGGATATGTGGACCTCTCCGAAGATGTCTTTGGAAACGGGAATATCTTCACATAAAAACTAAACAGAAGCATTCTCAGAAATTTCTTGGTGATGTTTGCATTCAAATCCCAGAGTTGAACCTTCCTTTGATAGTGCAGGTTTGAAACACTCTTTTTGTAGGATCTGCAAGTGGATATTTGGACCACTCTGTGGCCTTCGTTCGAAACGGGTACATCTTCGCATAAAATCTAGACAGAAGCATTCTCAGAAAATACTTTGTGATGATTGAGTTTAACTCACAGAGCTGAACATTCCTTTGGATGGAGCAGGCTTGAGACACACTTTTTGTAGAATCTACAAGTGGATATTTGGACCTCTCTGAGGATTTCGTTGGAAACGGGATAACTGCACCTAACTAAACGGAAGCATTCTCAGAAACTGCTTTGTGATGATTGCATTCACCTCACAGAGTTGAACATTCCTATTGATAGAGCAGTTTGGAAACACTCCTGTTGTGGAATGTGCAAGTGGAGATTTGGAGCGCTTTGAGGCCTATGGTAGTAAAGGGAATAGCTTCATAGAAAAACTAGACAGATGCATTCTCAGGAACTTTTTGGTGATGTTTGTATTCAACTCCCAGAGTTGAACTTTCCTTTGGAAAGAGCAGCTATGAAACACTCTTTTTCTAGAATCTGCAAGTGGACGTTTGGAGGGCTTTGTGGTTTGTGGTGGAAAAGGAAATATCTTCACCTAAATACTAGAGAGAAGCATTCTCAGAAGCTTCTCTGTGATGACTGCATTCAACTCACGGAGTTGAACACTCCTCTTGAGAGCGCAGTTTTGAAACTCTCTTTCTGTGGCATCCGCAAGGGGACATGTAGACCTCTTTGAAGATTTCGTTGGAAACGGAATCATCTTCACATAAAATCTATACAGAAGCAGTCTCAGAATCTTCTTTGTGATGTTTGCATTCAAATCCCAGAGTTGAACTTTCCTTTCAAAGTTCACGTTTGAAACACTCTTTTTGCAGGATCTACAAGTGGATATTTGGACCACTCTGTGTCCTTCGTTCGAAACGGGTATATCTTCACACGACATCTAGACAGAAGCTTTCTCAGAAAATTCTTTGGGATGATTGAGTGGAACTCACAGAGCTGAACATTCCTTGCGATGTAGCAGTTTAGAAACACACTTTCTGCAGAATCTGCAAGTGCATATTTGGACCTCTCTGAGGAATTCGTTGGAAACGGGATAATTTCAGCTGACTAAACAGAAGCATTCTCAGAACCTTCTTCGTGATGTCTGCATTCAACTCACAGTGTGGAACCTTTCTTTGATAGTTCAGGTTTGAAACACTCTTTTTGTAGAAACTGCAAGGGGATAATTGCACTTCTTTGAGGCCTACCGTAGTAAAGGAAATAACTTCCTATAGAAAGAAGACAGAAGCATTCTCAGAACCCTCTTCGTGATGTTTGCATTCAACTCACAGTGCTGAACCTTTCTTTGATAGTTCAGCTTTGAAACACTCTTTTTGTAGAAACTGCAAGTGGATATTTGGTCCTCTCTGAGCATTTCGTTGGAAACGGGATAAACTGCACAGAACTAAACAGAAGCATTCTCAGAACCTTCTTCGTGATGTTTGCATTCAACTCACAGTGTTGAACCTTTCTTTGATAGTTCAGGTTTGAAACGGTCTTTCTGTAGAAACTGCAAGTAGATATTTGGACCTCTCTGAGGATTTCGTTGGAAACGGGATAACCCGCACAGAACTAAAACAGAAGCATTCACAGAAAACTCTTGGTGACGACTGAGTTTAACTCACAGAGCTGAACATTCCTTTGGATGGAGCAGTTTCGAAACACACTATTTGTAGAATGTGCAAGTGGATATTTAGGCCTCTCTGAGGATTTCGTTGGAAACGGGATAAACCGCACAGAACTAAACAGAAGCATTCTCAGAAACTACTTTGTGATGATTGCATTCAAGTCACAGAGTTGAACATTCCCTTTGACAGAGCAGTTTGGAAACTCTCTTTGTGTAGAATCTGCAAGTGGAGATATGGACCGCTTTGAGGCCTATGGTAGTAAAGGAAATAGCTTCATATAAAAGCTAGACAGTAACATTCTCAGAAACTTCTTTGTGATGCTTGCATTCAACTCACAGAGTTGAACATTCCTTTCAAGAGAGAAGCTTTGAAACACTCTTTTTCCAGAATCTGCAAGGGGACATTTGGAGGGCTTTGAGGCCTGTGGTGGAAAAGGAATTATCTTCCCGTAAATGCTAGATAGAAGCATTGTCAGAAACTTCTTTGTGATGATTGCATTCAACTCACAGAGTTGAAGGTTCCTTTTCAAACAGCAGTTTCCAATCACTCTTTCTGTGGAATCTGCAAGTGGATATTTCGACCTCTTTGAAGATTTCGTTGGAAACGGGAGAATCTTCACAGAAAAGCTAAACAGAAGCATTCTCAGAAACTTCTCTGTGATGTTTGTGTTCAACTCCCAGAGTTTCACGTTGCTTTTCATAGAGTAGTTCTGAAACATGCTTTTCGTAGTGTCTGCAAGTGGACATTTGGAGCGCTTTCAGGCCTGTGGTGGAAAACGAATTATGGTCACATAAAAACTGGAGAGAAGCCTTCTCAGAAACTTCTCTGTGATGATTGCATTCAACTCACAGAGTTGAACCGTCCTATGGATAGAGCAGTGTTGAAACTCTCTTTTTGTGGAATCTGCAAGTGGATATGTGGACCTCTCCGAAGATGTCTTTGGAAACGGGGCTATCTTCACATAAAAACTAAACAGAAGCATTCTCAGAAACTTCTTGGTGATGTTTGCATTCAAATCCCAGAGTTGAACCGTCCTTTGATAGTTCAGGTTTGAAACACTCTTTTTGTAGGATCTGCAAGTGGCTATTTGGACCACTCTGTGGCCTTCGTTCGAAACGGGTATATCTTCGCATAAAATCTAGACAGAAGCATTCTCAGAAAATACTTTGTGATGATTGAGTTTAAATCACAGAGCTGACCATTCCTTTGGATGGAGCAGGTTTGAGACACACTTTTTGTAGAATCTACAAGTGGATATTTGGACCTCTCTGAGGATTTCGTTGGAAACGGGATAACTGCACCTAACTAAACGGAAGCATTCTCAGAAACTGCTTTGTGATGATTGCATTCACCTCACAGAGTTGAACATTCCTATTGATAGAGCAGTTTGGAAACACTCTTGTTGTGGAATGTGCAAGTGGAGATTTGGAGCGCTTTGAGGCCTATGGTAGTAAAGGGAATAGCTTCATAGAAAAACTAGACAGATGCATTCTCAGGAACTTTTTGGTGATGTTTGTATTCAACTCCCAGAGTTGAACTTTCCTTTGGAAAGAGCAGCTATGAAACACCCTTTTTCTAGAATCTGCAAGTGGACGTTTGGAGGGCTTTGTGGTTTGTGGTGGAAAAGGAAATATCTTCACCTAAATACTAGATAGAAGCATTCTCAGAAGCTTCTCTGTGATGACTGCATTCAACTCACGGAGTTGAACACTCCTTTTGAGAGCGCAGTTTTGAAACTCTCTTTCTGTGGCATCTGCAAGGGGACATGTAGACCTCTTTGAAGATTTCGTTGGAAACGGAATCATCTTCACATAAAAACTATACAGAAGCAGTCTCAGAATCTTCTTTGTGATGTTTGCATTCAAATCCCAGAGTTGAACTTTCCTTTCAAAGTTCACGTTTGAAACACTCTTTTTGCAGGATCTACAAGTGGATATTTGGACCACTCTGTGTCCTTCGTTCGAAACGGGTATATCTTCACAGGACATCTAGACAGAAGCTTTCTCAGAAAATTCTTTGGGATGATTGAGTGGAACTCACAGAGCTGAACATTCCTTGCGATGTAGCAGTTTAGAAACACACTTTCTGCAGAATCTGCAAGTGCATATTTGGACCTCTCTGAGGAATTCGTTGGAAACGGGATAATTTCAGCTGACTAAACAGAAGCATTCTCAGAACCTTCTTCGTGATGTCTGCATTCAACTCACAGTGTGGAACCTTTCTTTGATAGTTCAGGTTTGAAACACTCTTTTTGTAGAAACTGCAAGGGGATAATTGCACTTCTTTGAGGCCTACCGTAGTAAAGGAAATAACTTCCTATAGAAAGAAGACAGAAGCATTCTCAGAACCCTCTTCGTGATGTTTGCATTCAACTCACAGTGCTGAACCTTTCTTTGATAGTTCAGCTTTGAAACACTCTTCTTGTAGAAACTGCAAGTGGATATTTGGTCCTCTCTGAGGATTTCGTTGGAAACGGGATAAACCGCACAGAACTAAACAGAAGAATTCTCAGAGCCCTCTTCGTGATGTTTGCATTCAACTCACAGTGCTGAACCTTTCTTTGATAGTGCAGCTTTGAAACACTCTTTTTGTAGAAACTGCAAGTGGATGTTTGGTCCTCTCTGAGGATTTCGTTGGAAACGGGATAAACCGCACAGAACTAAAACAGAAGCATTGTCAGAAACTTCTTTGTGATGATTGCATTCAACTCACAGAGTTGAAGGTTCCTTTTCAAACAGCAGTTTCCAATCACTCTTTCTGTGGAATCTGCAAGTGGATATTTGGGCCTCTCTGAGGATTTCGTTGGAAACGGGATAAAACGCACAGAACTAAAACAGAAGCATTCTCAGAAACTTCTCTGTGATGTTTGTGTTCAACTCCCAGAGTTTCACGTTGCTTTTCATAGAGTAGTTCTGAAACATGCTTTTCGTAGTGTCTGCAAGTGGACATTTGGAGCGCTTTCAGGCCTGTGGTGGAAAACGAATTATGGTCACATAAAAACTGGAGAGAAGCCTTCTCAGAAACTTCTCTGTGATGATTGCATTCAACTCACAGAGTTGAACCCTCCTATGGATAGAGCAGTGTTGAAACTCTCTTTTTGTGGAATCTGCAAGTGGATATGTGGACCTCTCCGAAGATGTCTTTGGAAACGGGAATATCTTCACATAAAAACTAAACAGAAGCATTCTCAGAAACTTCTTGGTGATGTTTGCATTCAAATCCCAGAGTTGAACCTTCCTTTGATAGTTCAGGTTTGAAACACTCTTTTTGTAGGATCTGCAATTGGCTATTTGGACCACTCTGTGGCCTTCGTTCGAAACGGGTATATCTTCGCATAAAATCTAGACAGAAGCATTCTCAGAAAATACTTTGTGATGATTGAGTTTAAATCACAGAGCTGACCATTCCTTTGGATGGAGCAGGTTTGAGACACACTTTTTGTAGAATCTACAAGTGGATATTTGGACCTCTCTGAGGATTTCGTTGGAAACGGGATAACTGCACCTAACTAAACGGAAGCATTCTCAGAAACTGCTTTGTGATGATTGCATTCACCTCACAGAGTTGAACATTCCTATTGATAGAGCAGTTTGGAAACACTCTTGTTGTGGAATGTGCAAGTGGAGATTTGGAGCGCTTTGAGGCCTATGGTAGTAAAGGGAATAGCTTCATAGAAAAACTAGACAGATGCATTCTCAGGAACTTTTTGGTGATGTTTGTATTCAACTCCCAGAGTTGAACTTTCCTTTGGAAAGAGCAGCTATGAAACACTCTTTTTCTAGAATCTGCAAGTGGACGTTTGGAGGGCTTTGTGGTTTGTGGTGGAAAAGGAAATATCTTCACCTAAATACTAGATAGAAGCATTCTCAGAAGCTTCTCTGTGATGACTGCATTCAACTCACGGAGTTGAACACTCCTTTTGAGAGCGCAGTTTTGAAACTCTCTTTCTGTGGCATCTGCAAGGGGACATGTAGACCTCTTTGAAGATTTCGTTGGAAACGAAATCATCTTCACATAAAAACTATACAGAAGCAGTCTCAGAATCTTCTTTGTGATGTTTGCATTCAAATCCCAGAGTTGAACTTTCCTTTCAAAGTTCACGTTTGAAACACTCTTTTTGCAGGATCTACAAGTGGATATTTGGACCACTCTGTGTCCTTCGTTCGAAACGGGTATATCTTCACATGACATGTAGACAGAAGCTTTCTCAGAAAATTCTTTGGGATGATTGAGTGGAACTCACAGAGCTGAACATTCCTTGCGATGTAGCAGTTTAGAAACACACTTTCTGCAGAATCTGCAAGAGCATATTTGGACCTCTCTGAGGAATTCGATGGAAACGGGATAATTTCAGCTGACTAAACAGAAGCATTCTCAGAACCTTCTTCGTGATGTCTGCATTCAACTCACAGTGTGGAACCTTTCTTTGATAGTTCAGGTTTGAAACACTCTTTTTGTAGAAACTGCAAGGGGATAATTGCACTTCTTTGAGGCCTACCGTAGTAAAGGAAATAACTTCCTATAGAAAGAAGACAGAAGCATTCTCAGAACCCTCTTCGTGATGTTTGCATTCAACTCACAGTGCTGAACCTTTCTTTGATAGTTCAGCTTTGAAACACTCTTCTTGTAGAAACTGCAAGTGGATATTTGGTCCTCTCTGAGGATTTCGTTGGAAACGGGATAAACCGCACAGAACTAAACAGAAGCATTCTCAGAGCCCTCTTCGTGATGTTTGCATTCAACTCAGAGTGCTGAATCTTTCTTTGATAGTGCAGCTTTGAAACACTCTTTTTGTAGAAACTGCAAGTGGGTATTTGGTCCTCTCTGAGGATTTCGTTGGAAACGGGATAAACCGCACAGAACTAAAACAGATAGCATTCACAGTAAAACTCTTGGTGACGACTGAGTTTAACTCACAGAGCTGAACATTCCTTTGGATGGAGCAGTTTCGAAACACACTATTTGTAGAATCTGCAAGTGGATATTTGGGCCTCTCTGAGGATTTCGTTGGAAACGGGATAAAACGCACAGAACTAAAACAGAAGCATTCTCAGAAACTACTTTGTGATGATTGCATTCAAGTCACAGAGTTGAACATTCCCTTTGACAGAGCAGTTTGGAAACTCTCTTTGTGTAGAATCTGCAAGTGGAGATATGGACCGCTTTCAGGCCTATGGTAGTAAAGGAAATAGCTTCATATAAAAGCTAGACAGTAGCATTCTCAGAAACTTCTTTGTGATGCTTGCATTCAACTCACAGAGTTGAACTTTCCTTTCGAGAGAGAAGCTTTGAAACACTCTTTTTCCAGAATCTGCAAGTGGACATTTGGAGGGCTTTGAGGCCTGTGGTGGAAAAGGAATTATCTTCCCGTAAAAGCTAGATAGAAGCATTGTCAGAAACTTCTTTGTGATGATTGCATTCAACTCACAGAGTTGAAGGTTCCTTTTCAAACAGCAGTTTCCAATCACTCTTTCTGTGGAATCTGCAAGTGGATATTTGGGCCTCTCTGAGGATTTCGTTGGAAACGGGATAAAACGCACAGAACTAAAACAGAAGCATTCTCAGAAACTTCTCTGTGATGTTTGTGTTCAACTCCCAGAGTTTCACATTGCTTTTCATAGAGTAGTTCTGAAACATGCTTTTCGTAGTGTCTACAAGTGGACATTTGGAGCGCTTTCAGGCCTGTGGTGGAAAACGAATTATGGTCACATAAAAACTGGAGAGAAGCCTTCTCAGAAACTTCTCTGGGATGATTGCATTCAACTCACAGATTTGAACCCTCCTATGGATAGAGCATTGTTGAAACTCTCTTTTTGTGGAATCTGCAAGTGGATATGTGGTCCTCTTTGAAGATGTCTTTGGAAACGGGAATATCTTCACATAAAAACTAAACAGAAGCATTCTCAGTAAACTTCTTGGTGATGTTTGCATTCAAATCCCAGAGTTGAACCTTCCTTTGAGAGTTCAGGTTTGAAACACTCTTTTTGTAGGATCTGCAAGTGGATATTTGGACCACTCTGTGGCCTTCGTTCGAAACGGGTACATCTTCGCATAAAATCTAGACAGAAGCATTCTCAGAAAATACTTTGTGATGATTGAGTTTAAATCACAGAGCTGACCATTCCTTTGGATGGAGCAGGTTTGAGACACACTTTTTGTAGAATCTACAAGTGGATATTTGGACCCTCTCTGAGGATTTCGTTGGAAACGGGATAACTGCACCTAACTAAACGGAAGCATTCTCAGAAACTGCTTTGTGATGATTGCATTCACCTCACAGAGTTGAACATTCCTATTGATAGAGCAGTTTGGAAACACTCTTGTTGTGGAATGTGCAAGTGGAGATTTGGAGCGCTTTGAGGCCTATGGTAGTAAAGGGAATAGCTTCATAGAAAAACTAGACAGATGCATTCTCAGGAACTTTTTGGTGATGTTTGTATTCAACTCCCAGAGTTGAACTTTCCTTTGGAAAGAGCAGCTATGAAACACTCCTTTTCTAGAATCTGCAAGTGGACGTTTGGAGGGCTTTGTGGTTTGTGGTGGAAAAGGAAATATCTTCACCTAAATACTAGATAGAAGCATTCTCAGAAGCTTCTCTGTGATGACTGCATTCAACTCACGGAGTTGAACACTCCTTTTGAGAGCGCAGTTTTGAAACTCTCTTTCTGTGGCATCTGCAAGGGGACATGTGGACCTCTTTGAAGATTTCGTTGGAAACGGAATCATCTTCACATAAAAAATATACAGAAGCAGTCTCAGAATCTTCTTTGTGATGTTTGCATTCAAATCCCAGAGATGAACTTTCCTTTCAAAGTTCACGTTTGAAACACTCTTTTTGCAGGATCTACAAGTGGATATTTGGACCACTCTGTGTCCTTCGTTCGAAACGGGTATATCTTCACATGACATCTAGACAGAAGCTTTCTCAGAAAATTCTTTGGGATGATTGAGTGGAACTCACAGAGCTGAACATTCCTTGCGATGTAGCAGTTTAGAAACACACTTTCTGCAGAATCTGCAAGTGCATATTTGGACCTCTCTGAGGAATTCGTTGGAAACGGGATAATTTCAGCTGACTAAACAGAAGCATTCTCAGAACCTTCTTCGTGATGTCTGCATTCAACTCACAGTGTGGAACCTTTCTTTGATAGTTCAGGTTTGAAACACTCTTTTTGTAGAAACTGCAAGGGGATAATTGCACTTCTTTGAGGCCTACCGTAGTAAAGGAAATAACTTCCTATAGAAAGAAGACAGAAGAATTCTCAGAGCCCTCTTCGTGGTGTTTGCATTCAACTCACAGTGCTGAACCTTTCTTTGATAGTGCAGCTTTGAAACACTCTTTTTGTAGAAACTGCAAGTGGATATTTGGTCCTCTCTGAGGATTTCGTTGGAAACGGGATAAAACGCACAGAACTAAAACAGAAGCATTCTCAGAACCTTCTTCGTGATGTTTGCATTCAACTCACAGTGTTGAACCTTTCTTTGATAGTTCAGGTTTGAAACGGTCTTTCTGTAGAAACTGCAAGAAGATATTTGGACCTCTCTGAGGATTTCGTTGGAAACGGGATAAACCGCACAGAACTAAAACAGAAGCATTCACAGAAAACTCTTGGTGACGACTGAGTTTAACTCACAGAGCTGAACATTCCTTTGGATGGAGCAGTTTCGAAACACACTATTTGTAGAATGTGCAAGTGGATATGTGGGCCTCTCTGAGGATTTCGTTGGAAACGGGATAAACCGCACAGAACTAAACAGAAGCATTCTCAGAAACTACTTTGTGATGATTGCATTCAAGTCACAGAGTTGAACATTCCCTTTGACAGAGCAGTTTGGAAACTCTCTTTGTGTAGAATCTGCAAGTGGAGATATGGACCGCTTTGAGGCCTATGGTAGTAAAGGAAATAGCTTCATATAAAAGCTAGACAGTAGCATTCTCAGAAACTTCTTTGTGATGCTTGCATTCAACTCACAGAGTTGAACTTTCCTTTCGAGAGAGAAGCTTTGAAACACTCTTTTTCCAGAATCTGCAAGTGGACATTTGGAGGGCTTTGAGGCCTGTGGTGGAAAAGGAATTATCTTCCCGTAAAAGCTAGATAGAAGCATTGTCAGAAACTTCTTTGTGATGATTGCATTCAACTCACAGAGTTGAAGGTTCCTTTTCAAACAGCAGTTTCCAATCACTCTTTCTGTGGAATCTGCAAGTGGATATTTGGGCCTCTCTGAGGATTTCGTTGGAAACGGGATAAAACGCACAGAACTAAAACAGAAGCATTCTCAGAAACTTCTCTGTGATGTTTGTGTTCAACTCCCAGAGTTTCACGTTGCTTTTCATAGAGTACTTCTGAAACATGCTTTTCGTAGTGTCTGCAAGTGGACATTTGGAGCGCTTTCAGGCCTGTGGTGGAAAACGAATTATGGTCACATAAAAACTGGAGAGAAGCCTTCTCAGAAACTTCTCTGTGATGATTGCATTCAACTCACAGAGTTGAACCCTCCTATGGATAGAGCAGTGTTGAAACTCTCTTTTTGTGGAATCTGCAAGTGGATATGTGGACCTCTCCGAAGATGTCTTTGGAAACGGGAATATCTTCACATAAAAACTAAACAGAAGCATTCTCAGAAACTTCTTGGTGATGTTGGCATTCAAACCCCAGAGTTGAACCTTCCTTTGATAGTTCAGGTTTGAAACACTCTTTTTGTAGGATCTGCAAGTGGATATTTGGACCACTCTGTGGCCTTCGTTCGAAACGGGTACATCTTCGCATAAAATCTAGACAGAAGCATTCTCAGAAAATACTTTGTGATGATTGCGTTGAACTCACAGAGCTGAACATTCCTTTGGATGGAGCAGGTTTGAGACACACTTTTTGTAGAATCTACAAGTGGATATTTGGACCTCTCTGAGGATTTCGTTGGAAACCGGATAACTGCACCTAACTAAACGGAAGCATTCTCAGAAACTGCTTTGTGATGATTGCATTCACCTCACAGAGTTGAACATTCCTATTGATAGAGCAGTTTGGAAACACTCTTGTTGTGGAATGTGCAAGTGGAGATTTGGAGCGCTTTGAGGCCTATGGTAGTAAAGGGAATAGCTTCATAGAAAAACTAGACAGGATGCATTCTCAGGAACTTTTTGGTGATGTTTGTATTCAACTCCCAGAGTTGAACTTTCCTTTGGAAAGAGCAGCTATGAAACACTCTTTTTCTAGAATCTGCAAGTGGACGTTTGGAGGGCTTTGTGGTTTGTGGTGGAAAAGGAAATATCTTCACCTAAATACTAGATAGAAGCATTCTCAGAAGCTTCTCTGTGATGACTGCATTCAACTCACGGAGTTGAACACTCCTTTTGAGAGCGCAGTTTTGAAACTCTCTTTCTGTGGCATCTGCAAGGGGACATGTAGACCTCTTTGAAGATTTCGTTGGAAACGGAATCATCTTCACATAAAAACTATACAGAAGCAGTCTCAGAATCTTCTTTGTGATGTTTGCATTCAAATCCCAGAGTTGAACTTTCCTTTCAAAGTTCACGTTTGAAACACTCTTTTTGCAGGATCTACAAGTGGATATTTGGACCACTCTGTGTCCTTCGTTCGAAACGGGTATATCTTCACATGACATCTAGACAGAAGCTTTCTCAGAAAATTCTTTGGGATGATTGAGTTGAACTCACAGAGCTGAGCATTCCTTGCGATGTAGCAGTTTAGAAACACACTTTCTGCAGAATCTGCAAGTGCATATTTGGACCTCTGTGAGGAATTCGTTGGAAACGGGATAATTTCAGCTGACTAAACAGAAGCATTCTCAGAACCTTCTTCGTGATGTCTGCATTCAACTCACAGTGTGGAACCTTTCTTTGATAGTTCAGGTTTGAAACACTCTTTTTGTAGAAACTGCAAGGGGATAATTGCACTTCTTTGAGGCCTACCGTAGTAAAGGAAATAACTTCCTATAGAAAGAAGACAGAAGAATTCTCAGAGCCCTCTTCGTGATGTTTGCATTCAACTCACAGTGCTGAACCTTTCTTTGATAGTGCAGCTTTGAAACACTCTTTTTGTAGAAACTGCAAGTGGATGTTTGGTCCTCTCTGAGGATTTCGTTGGAAACGGGATAAACCGCACAGAACTAAAACAGAAGCATTCACAGAAAACTCTTGGTGACGACTGAGTTTAACTCACAGAGCTGAACATTCCTTTGGATGGAGCAGTTTCGAAACACACTATTTGTAGAATCTGCAAGTGGATATTTGGGCCTCTCTGAGGATTTCGTTGGAAACGGGATAAACTGCACAGAACTAAAACAGAAGCATTCTCAGAAACTACTTTGTGATGATTGCATTCAAGTCACAGAGTTGAACATTCCCTTTGACAGAGCAGTTTGGAAACTCTCTTTGTGTAGAATCTGCAAGTGGAGATATGGACCGCTTTGAGGCCTATGGTAGTAAAGGAAATAGCTTCATATAAAAGCTAGACAGTAGCATTCTCAGAAACTTCTTTGTGATGCTTGCATTCAACTCACAGAGTTGAACTTTCCTTTCGAGAGAGAAGCTTTGAAACACTCTTTTTCCAGAATCTGCAAGTGGACATTTGGAGGGCTTTGAGGCCTGTGGTGGAAAAGGAATTATCTTCCCGTAAAAGCTAGATAGAAGCATTGTCAGAAACTTCTTTGTGATGATTGCATTCAACTCACAGAGTTGAAGGTTCCTTTTCAAACAGCAGTTTCCAATCACTCTTTCTGTGGAATCTGCAAGTGGATATTTGGGCCTCTCTGAGGATTTCGTTGGAAACGGGATAAAACGCACAGAACTAAAACAGAAGCATTCTCAGAAACTTCTCTGTGATGTTTGTGTTCAACTCCCAGAGTTTCACATTGCTTTTCATAGAGTAGTTCTGAAACATGCTTTTCGTAGTGTCTACAAGTGGACATTTGGAGCGCTTTCAGGCCTGTGGTGGAAAACGAATTATGGTCACATAAAAACTGGAGAGAAAGCCTTCTCAGAAACTTCTCTGTGATGATTGCATTCAACTCACAGAGTTGAACCCTCCTATGGATAGAGCAGTGTTGAAACTCTCTTTTTGTGGAATCTGCAAGTGGATATGTGGACCTCTCCGAAGATGTCTTTGGAAACGGGAATATCTTCACATAAAAACTAAACAGAGCATTCTCAGAAACTTCTTGGTGATGTTTGCATTCAAATCCCAGAGTTGAACCTTCCTTTGATAGTTCAGGTTTGAAACACTCTTTCTGTAGGATCTGCAAGTGGCTATTTGGACCACTCTGTGGCCTTCGTTCGAAACGGGTATATCTTCGCATAAAATCTAGACAGAAGCATTCTCAGAAAATACATTGCGATGATTGAGTTGAACTCACAGAGCTGAACATTCCTTTGGATGGAGCAGGTTTGAGACACCCTTTTTGTAGAATCTACAAGTGGATATTTGGACCTCTCTGAGGATTTCGTTGGAAACGGGATAACTGCACCTAACTAAACGGAAGCATTCTCAGAAACTGCTTTGTGATGATTGCATTCACCTCACAGAGTTGAACATTCCTATTGATGGAGCAGTTTGGAAACACTCTTGTTGTGGAATGTGCAAGTGGAGATTTGGAGCGCTTTGAGACCTATGGTAGTAAAGGGAATAGCTTCATAGAAAAACTAGACAGATGCATTCTCACGAACTTTTTGGTGATGTTTGTATTCAACTCCCAGAGTTGAACTTTCCTTTGGAAAGAGCAGCTATGAAACACTCTTTTTCTAGAATCTGCAAGTGGACGTTTGGAGGGCTTTGTGGTTTGTGGTGGAAAAGGAAATATCTTCACCTAAATACTAGATAGAAGCATTCTCAGAAGCTTCTCTGTGATGACTGCATTCAACTCACGGAGTTGAACACTCCTTTTGAGAGCGCAGTTTTGAAACTCTCTTTCTGTGGCATCTGCAAGGGGACATGTAGACCTCTTTGAAGATTTCGTTGGAAACGGAATCATCTTCACATAAAAACTATACAGAAGCAGTCTCAGAATCTTCTTTGTGATGTTTGCATTCAAATCCCAGAGTTGAACTTTCCTTTCAAAGTTCACGTTTGAAACTCTCTTTTTGCAGGATCTACAAGTGGATATTTGGACC
The DNA here is from genome assembly GCF_000001405.40 of Homo sapiens. Lineage (NCBI taxonomy): Eukaryota > Metazoa > Chordata > Mammalia > Primates > Hominidae > Homo > Homo sapiens. The sequence goes on from NC_000017.11 coordinate 25,942,554, forward strand.
ACTCTGTGTCCTTCCTTCGAAACGGGTATATCTTCACATGACATCTAGACAGAAGCTTTCTCAGAAAATTCTTTGGGATGATTGAGTTGAACTCACAGAGCTGAACATTCCTTGCGATGTAGCAGTTTAGAAACACACTTTCTGCAGAATCTGCAAGTGCATATTTGGACCTCTCTGAGGAATTCGTTGGAAACGGGATAATTTCAGCTGACTAAACAGAAGCATTCTCAGAACCTTCTTCGTGATGTCTGCATTCAACTCACAGTGTGGAACCTTTCTTTGATAGTTCAGGTTTGAAACACTCTTTTTGTAGAAACTGCAAGGGGATAATTGCACTTCTTTGAGGCCTACCGTAGTAAAGGAAATAACTTGCTATAGAAAGAAGACAGAAGCATTCTCAGAACCCTCTTCGTGATGTTTGCATTCAACTCACAGTGCTGAACCTTTCTTTGATAGTTCAGCTTTGAAACACTCTTCTTGTAGAAACTGCAAGTGGATATTTGGTCCTCTCTGAGGATTTCGTTGGAAACGGGATAAACCGCACAGAACTAAACAGAAGCGTTCTCAGAACCCTCTTCGTGATGTTTGCATTCAACTCACAGTGCTGAACCTTTCTTTGATAGTGCAGCTTTGAAACACTCTTTTTGTAGAAACTGCAAGTGGATATTTGGTCCTCTCTGAGGATTTCGTTGGAAACGGGATAAACCGCACGGAACTAAAACGGAAGCATTCTCAGAGCCCTCTTCGTGATGTTTGCATTCAACTCACAGTGCTGAACCTTTCTTTGATAGTGCAGCTTTGAAACACTCTTTTTGTAGAAACTGCAAGTGGATATTTGGTCCTCTCTGAGGATTTCGTTGGAAACGGGATAAACCGCACAGAACTAAAACAGAAGCATTCACAGAAAACTCTTGGTGACGACTGAGTTTAACTCACAGAGCTGAACATTCCTTTGGATGGAGCAGTTTCGAAACACACTATTTGTAGAATGTGCAAGTGGATATTTGGGCCTCTCTGAGGATTTCGTTGGAAACGGGATAAAACGCACAGAACTAAAACAGAAGCATTCTCAGAAACTACTTTGTGATGATTGCATTCAAGTCACAGAGTTGAACATTCCCTTTGACAGAGCAGTTTGGAAACTCTCTTTGTGTAGAATCTGCAAGTGGAGATATGGACCGCTTTGAGGCCTATGGTAGTAAAGGAAATAGCTTCATATAAAAGCTAGACAGTAGCATTCTCAGAAACTTCTTTGTGATGCTTGCATTCAACTCACAGAGTTGAACTTTCCTTTCGAGAGAGAAGCTTTGAAACACTCTTTTTCCAGAATCTGCAAGTGGACATTTGGAGGGCTTTGAGGCCTGTGGTGGAAAAGGAATTATCTTCCCGTAAAAGCTAGATAGAAGCCTTCTCAGAAACTTCTCTGTGATGATTGCATTCAACTCACAGAGTTGAAGGTTCCTTTTCAAAGAGCAGTTTCCAATCACTCTTTCTGTGGAATCTGCAAGTGGATATTTGGACCTATTTTGAAGATTTCGTTGGAAACGGGAGAATCTTCACAGGAAAGCTAAACAGAAGCATTCTCAGAAACTTCTTGGTGATGTTTGCATTCAAATCCCAGAGTAGAACCTTCCTTTGATAGTTCAGGTTTGAAACACTCTTTTTGTAGGATCTGCAAGTGGATATTTGGACCACTCTGTGGCCTTCGTTCGAAACGGGTATATCTTCGCATAAAATCTAGACAGAAGCATTCTCAGAAAATACTTTGTGATGATTGAGTTTAAATCACAGAGCTGACCATTCCTTTGGATGGAGCAGGTTTGAGACACACTTTTTGTAGAATCTACAAGTGGATATTTGGACCTCTCTGAGGATTTCGTTGGAAACGGGATAACTGCACCTAACTAAACGGAAGCATTCTCAGAAACTGCTTTGTGATGATTGCATTCACCTCACAGAGTTGAACATTCCTATTGATAGAGCAGTTTGGAAACACTCTTGTTGTGGAATGTGCAAGTGGAGATTTGGAGCGCTTTGAGGCCTATGGTAGTAAAGGGAATAGCATCATAGAAAAACTAGACAGATGCATTCTCAGGAACTTTTTGGTGATGTTTGTATTCAACTCCCAGAGTTGAACTTTCCTTTGGAAAGAGCAGCTATGAAACACTCTTTTTCTAGAATCTGCAAGTGGACGTTTGGAGGGCTTTGTGGTTTGTGGTGGAAAAGGAAATATCTTCACCTAAATACTAGATAGAAGCATTCTCAGAAGCTTCTCTGTGATGACTGCATTCAACTCACGGAGCTGAACACTCCTTTTGAGAGTGCAGTTTTGAAACTCTCTTTCTGTGGCATCTGCAAGGGGACATGTAGACCTCTTTGAAGATTTCGTTGGAAACGGAATCATCTTCACATAAAAACTATACAGAAGCAGTCTCAGAATCTTCTTTGTGATGTTTGCATTCAAATCCCAGAGTTGAACTTTCCTTTCAAAGTTCACGTTTGAAACACTCTTTTTGCAGGATCTACAAGTGGATATTTGGACCACTCTGTGTCCTTCGTTCGAAACGGGTATATCTTCACATGACATCTAGACAGAAGCTTTCTCAGAAAATCCTTTGGGATGATTGAGTGGAACTCACAGAGCTGAACATTCCTTGCGATGTAGCAGTTTAGAAACACACTTTCTGCAGAATCTGCAAGTGCATATTTGGACCTCCTCTGAGGAATTCGTTGGAAACGGGATAATTTCAGCTGACTAAACAGAAGCATTCTCAGAACCTTCTTCGTGATGTCTGCATTCAACTCACAGTGTGGAACCTTTCTTTGATAGTTCAGCTTTGAAACACTCTTTTTGTAGAAACTGCAAGGGGATAATTGCACTTCTTTGAGGCCTACCGTAGTAAAGGAAATAACTTCCTATAGAAAGAAGACAGAAGAATTCTCAGAGCCCTCTTCGTGATGTTTGCATTCAACTCACAGTGCTGAACCTTTCTTTGATAGTGCAGCTTTGAAACACTCTTTTTGTAGAAACTGCAAGTGGATGTTTGGTCCTCTCTGAGGATTTCGTTGGAAACGGGATAAACCGCACAGAACTAAAACAGAAGCATTCTCAGAACCTTCTTCGTGATGTTTGCATTCAACTCACAGTGTTGAACCTTTCTTTGATAGTTCAGGTTTGAAACGGTCTTTCTGTAGAAACTGCAAGTAGATATTTGGACCTCTCTGAGGATTTCGTTGGAAACGGGATAACCCGCACAGAACTAAAACAGAAGCATTCACAGAAAACTCTTGGTGACGACTGAGTTTAACTCACAGAGCTGAACATTCCTTTGGATGGAGCAGTTTCGAAACACACTATTTGTAGAATGTGCAAGTGGATATTTGGGCCTCTCTGAGGATTTCGTTGGAAACGGGATAAACCGCACAGAACTAAACAGAAGCATTCTCAGAAACTACTTTGTGATGATTGCATTCAAGTCACAGAGTTGAACATTCCCTTTGACAGAGCAGTTTGGAAACTCTCTTTGTGTAGAATCTGCAAGTGGAGATATGGACCGCTTTGAGGCCTATGGTAGTAAAGGAAATAGCTTCATATAAAAGCTAGACAGTAGCATTCTCAGAAACTTCTTTGTGATGCTTGCATTCAACTCACAGAGTTGAACTTTCCTTTCGAGAGAGAAGCTTTGAAACACTCTTTTTCCAGAATCTGCAAGTGGACATTTGGAGGGCTTTGAGGCCTGTGGTGGAAAAGGAATTATCTTCCCGTAAAAGCTAGATAGAAGCATTGTCAGAAACTTCTTTGTGATGATTGCATTCAACTCACAGAGTTGAAGGTTCCTTTTCAAACAGCAGTTTCCAATCACTCTTTCTGTGGAATCTGCAAGTGGATATTTGGGCCTCTCTGAGGATTTCGTTGGAAACGGGATAAAACGCACAGAACTAAAACAGAAGCATTCTCAGAAACTTCTCTGTGATGTTTGTGTTCAACTCCCAGAGTTTCACATTGCTTCTCATAGAGTAGTTCTGAAACATGCTTTTCCTAGTGTCTGCAAGTGGACATTTGGAGCGCTTTCAGGCCTGTGGTGGAAAACGAATTATGGTCACATAAAAACTGGAGAGAAGCCTTCTGAGAAACTTCTCTGTGATGATTGCATTCAACTCACAGATTTGAAACCTCCTATGGATAGAGCAGTGTTGAAACTCTCTTTTTGTGGAATCTGCAAGTGGATATGTGGACCCCTCCGAAGATGTCTTTGGAAACGGGAATATCTTCACATAAAAACTAAACAGAAGCATTCTCAGAAACTTCTTGGTGATGTTTGCATTCAAATCCCAGAGTTGAACCTTCCTTTGATAGTTCAGGTTTGAAACACTCTTTCTGTAGGATCTGCAAGTGGCTATTTGGACCACTCTGTGGCCTTCGTTCGAAACGGGTATATCTTCGCATAAAATCTAGACAGAAGCATTCTCAGAAAATACTTTGTGATGATTGAGTTTAACTCACAGAGCTGAACATTCCTTTGGATGGAGCAGGTTTGAGACACACTTTTTGTAGAATCTACAAGTGGATATTTGGACCTCTCTGAGGATTTCGTTGGAAACGCGATAACTGCACCTAACTAAACGGAAGCATTCTCAGAAACTGCTTTGTGATGATTGCATTCACCTCACAGAGTTGAACATTCCTATTGATAGAGCAGTTTGGAAACACTCTTGTTGTGGAATGTGCAAGTGGAGATTTGGAGCGCTTTGAGGCCTATGGTAGTAAAGGGAATAGCTTCATAGAAAAACTAGACAGATGCATTCTCAGGAACTTTTTGGTGATGTTTGCATTCAACTCCCAGAGTTGAACTTTCCTTTGGAAAGAGCAGCTATGAAACACTCTTTTTCTAGAATCTGCAAGTGGACGTTTGGAGGGCTTTGTGGTTTGTGGTGGAAAAGGAAATATCTTCACCTAAATACTAGAGAGAAGCATTCTCAGAAGCTTCTCTGTGATGACTGCATTCAACTCACGGAGTTGAACACTCCTTTTGAGAGCGCAGTTTTGAAACTCTCTTTCTGTGGCATCTGCAAGGGGACATGTAGACCTCTTTGAAGATTTCGTTGGAAACGGAATCATCTTCACATAAAAACTATACAGAAGCAGTATCAGAATCTTCTTTGTGATGTTTGCATTCAAATCCCAGAGTTGAACTTTCCTTTCAAAGTTCACGTTTGAAACACTCTTTTTGCAGGATCTACAAGTGGATATTTGGACCACTCTGTGTCCTTCGTTCGAAACGGGTATATCTTCACATGACATCTAGACAGAAGCTTTCTCAGAAAATTCTTTGGGATGATTGAGTTGAACTCACAGAGCTGAACATTCCTTGCGATGGAGCAGTTTAGAAACACACTTTCTGCAGAATCTGCAAGTGCATATTTGGACCTCTCTGAGGAATTCGTTGGAAACGGGATAATTTCAGCTGACTAAACAGAAGCATTCTCAGAATCTTCTTCGTGATGTCTGCATTCAACTCACAGTGTGGCACCTTTCTTTGATAGTTCAGGTTTGAAACACTCTTTTTGTAGAAACTGCAAGGGGATAATTGCACTTCTTTGAGGCCTACCGTAGTAAAGGAAATAACTTCCTATACAAAGAAGATAGAAGAATTCTCAGAGCCCTCTTCGTGATGTTTGCATTCAACTCACAGTGCTGAACCTTTCTTTGATAGTGCAGCTTTGAAACACTCTTTTTGTAGAAACTGCAAGTGGATATTTGGTCCTCTCTGAGGATTTCGTTGGAAACGGGATAAACCGCACAGAACTAAAACAGAAGCATTCACAGAAAACTCTTGGTGACGACTGAGTTTAACTCACAGAGCTGAACATTCCTTTGGATGGAGCAGTTTCGAAACACACTATTTGTAGAATCTGCAAGTGGATATTTGGGCCTCTCTGAGGATTTCGTTGGAAACGGGATAAAACGCACAGAAGTAAAACAGAAGCAATCTCAGAAACTACTTTGTGATGATTGCATTCAAGTCACAGAGTTGAACATTCCCTTTGACAGAGCAGTTTGGAAACTCTCTTTGTGTAGAATCTGCAAGTGGAGATATGGACCGCTTTGAGGCCTATGGTAGTAAAGGAAATACCTTCATATAAAAGCTAGACAGTAGCATTCTCAGAAACTTCTTTGTGATGCTTGCATTCAACTCACAGAGTTGAACTTTCCTTTCGAGAGAGAAGCTTTGAAACACTCTTTTTCCAGAATCTGCAAGTGGACATTTGGAGGGCTTTGAGGCCTGTGGTGGAAAAGGAATTATCTTCCCGTAAAAGCTAGATAGAAGCATTGTCAGAAACTTCTTTGTGATGATTGCATTCAACTCACAGAGTTGAAGGTTCCTTTTCAAAGAGCAGTTTCCAATCACTCTTTCTGTGGAATCTGCAAGTGGATATTTGGACCTCTTTGAAGATTTCGTTGGAAACGGGAGAATCTTCACAGAAAAGCTAAACAGAAGCATTCTCCGAAACTTCTCTGTGATGTTTGTGTTCAACTCCCAGAGTTTCACATTGCTTTTCATAGAGTAGTTCTGAAACATGCTTTTCGTAGTGTCTGCAAGTGGACATTTGGAGCGCTTTCAGGCCTGTGGTGGAAAACGAATTATGGTCACATAAAAACTGGAGAGAAGCCTTCTCAGAAACTTCTCTGTGATGATTGCATTCAACTCACAGAGTTGAACCCTCCTATGGATAGAGCAGTGTTGAAACTCTCTTTTTGTGGAATCTGCAAGTGGATATGTGGACCTCTCCGAAGATGTCTTTGGAAACGGGAATATCTTCACATAAAAACTAAACAGAAGCATTCTCAGAAACTTCTTGGTGATGTTTGCATTCAAATGCCAGAGTTGAACCTTCCTTTGATAGTTCAGGTTTGAAACACTCTTTTTGTAGGATCTGCAAGTGGATATTTGGACCACTCTGTGGCCTTCGTTCGAAACGGGTATATCTTCGCATAAAATCTAGACAGAAGCATTCTCAGAATATACTTTGTGATGATTGAGTTTAACTCACAGAGCTGAACATTCCTTTGGATGGAGCAGGTTTGAGACACACTTTTTGTAGAATCTACAAGTGGATATTTGGACCTCTCTGAGGATTTCGTTGGAAACGGGATAACTGCACCTAACTAAACGGAAGCATTCTCAGAAACTGCTTTGTGATGATTGCATTCACCTCACAGAGTTGAACATTCCTATTGATAGAGCAGTTTGGAAACACTCTTGTTGTGGAATGTGCAAGTGGAGATTTGGAGCGCTTTGAGGCCTATGGTAGTAAAGGGAATAGCTTCATAGAAAAACTAGACAGAATGCATTCTCAGGGAACTTTTTGGTGATGTTTGTATTCAACTCCCAGAGTTGAACTTTCCTTTGGAAAGAGCAGCTATGAAACACTCTTTTTCTAGAATCTGCAAGTGGACGTTTGGAGGGCTTTGTGGTTTGTGGTGGAAAAGGAAATATCTTCACCTAAATACTAGATAGAAGCTTTCTCAGAAGCTTCTCTGTGATGACTGCATTCAACTCACGGAGTTGAACACTCCTTTTGAGAGCGCAGTTTTGAAACTCCCTTTCTGTGGCATCTGCAAGGGGACATGTAGACCTCTTTGAAGATTTCGTTGGAAACGGAATCATCTTCACATAAAAACTATACAGAAGTAGTCTCAGAATCTTCTTTGTGATGTTTGCATTCAAATCCCAGAGTTGAACTTTCCTTTCAAAGTTCACGTTTGAAACACTCTTTTTGCAGGATCTACAAGTGGATATTTGGACCACTCTGTGTCCTTCGTTCGAAACGGGTATATCTTCACACGACATCTAGACAGAAGCTTTCTCAGAAAATTCTTTGGGATGATTGAGTTGAACTCACAGAGCTGAACATTCCTTGCGATGTAGCAGTTTAGAAACACACTTTCTGCAGAATCTGCAAGTGCATATTTGGACCTCTCAGAGTAATTCGTTGGAAACGGGATAATTTCAGCTGACTAAACAGAAGCATTCTCAGAACCTTCTTCGTGATGTCTGCATTCAACTCACAGTGTGGAACCTTTCTTTGATAGTTCAGGTTTGAAACACTCTTTTTGTAGAAACTGCAAGGGGATAATGGCACTTCTTTGAGGCCTACCGTAGTAAAGGAAATAACTTCCTATAGAAAGAAGACAGAAGCATTCTCAGAACCCTCTTCGTGATGTTTGCATTCAACTCACAGTGCTGAACCTTTCTTTGATAGTTCAGCTTTGAAACACTCTTCTTGTAGAAACTGCAAGTGGATATATGGTCCTTTCTGAGGATTTCGTTGGAAACGGGATAAACCGCACAGAACTAAACAGAAGCATTCTCAGAACCTTCTTCGTGATGTTTGCATTCAACTCACAGTGTTGAACCTTTCTTTGATAGTTCAGGTTTGAAACGGTCTTTCTGTAGAAACTGCAAGTAGATATTTGGACCTCTCTGAGGATTTCGTTGGAAACGGGATAACCCGCACAGAACTAAAACAGAAGCATTCACAGAAAACTCTTGGTGACGAATGAGTTTAACTCACAGAGCTGAACATTCCTTTGGATGGAGCAGTTTCGAAGCACACTATTTGTAGAATGTGCAAGTGGATATTTGGGCCTCTCTGAGGATTTCGTTGGAAACGGGATAAACCGCACAGAACTAAACAGAAGCATTCTCAGAAACTACTTTGTGATGATTGCATTCAAGTCACAGAGTTGAACATTCCCTTTGACAGAGCAGTTTGGAAACTCTCTTTGTGTAGAATCTGCAAGTGGAGATATGGACCGCTTTGAGGCCTATGGTAGTAAAGGAAATAGCTTCATATAAAAGCTAGACAGTAGCATTCTCAGAAACTTCTTTGTGATGTTTGCATTCAACTCACAGAGTTGAACTTTCCTGTTGAGAGAGAAGCTGTGAAACATTCTTTCTCTAGACTCTGCAAGTGGATATTTGGAGGGCTTTGAGGCCTGTGGTGGAAAGGGAATTATCTTCCCGTAAAAACTAGATAGAAGCATTCTCAGAAACTTGTTTGTGATGATTGCATTCAACTCACAGAGTTGAAGGTTCCTTTTCAAACAGCAGTTTCCAAACACTCTTTCTGTGGAATCTGCAAGTGGATATTTGGACCTCTTTGAAGATGTCGTTGGAAACGGGATAATCTTCACAGAAAAGCTAAACAGAAGCATTCTCAGAAACTTCTCTGTGATGTTTGCGTTCAACTCACAGAGTTTCACATTGCTTTTCATAGAGCAGTTCTGAAACATGCTTTTCGGAATATCTGCAAGTGGACATTTGGAGAGCTTTCAGGCCTGTGGTGGAAAACGAATTATCGTCACATAAAAACTAGAGAGTAGCCTTCTCAGAAACTTCTCTGTGATGATTGCATTCAACTCACAGAGTTGAACCCTCCCTATGGATAGAGCAGTGTTGAAACTCTCTTTTTGTGGAATCTGCAAGTGGATATGTGGACCTCTCCGAAGATGTCTTTGGAAACGGGAATATCTTCACATAAAAACTAAACAGAAGCATTCTCAGAAACTTCTTGGTGATGTTTGCATTCAAATCCCAGAGTTGAACCTTCCTTTGATAGTTCAGGTTTGAAACACTCTTTCTGTAGGATCTGCAAGTGGCTATTTGGACCACTCTGTGGCCTTCGTTCGAAACGGGTATATCTTCGCATAAAATCTAGACAGAAGCATTCTCAGAAAATACTTTGTGATGATTGAGTTTAAATCACAGAGCTGACCATTCCTTTGGATGGAGCAGGTTTGAGACACACTTTTTGTAGAATCTACAAGTGGATATTTGGACCTCTCTGAGGATTTCGTTGGAAACGGGATAACTGCACCTAACTAAACGGAAGCATTCTCAGAAACTGCTTTGTGATGATTGCATTCACCTCACAGAGTTGAACATTCCTATTGATAGAGCAGTTTGGAAACACTCTTGTTGTGGAATGTGCAAGTGGAGATTTGGAGCGCTTTGAGGCCTATGGTAGTAAAGGGAATAGCTTCATAGAAAAACTAGACAGATGCATTCTCAGGAACTTTTTGGTGATGTTTGTATTCAACTCCCAGAGTTGAACTTTCCTTTGGAAAGAGCAGCTATGAAACACTCTTTTTCTAGAATCTGCAAGTGGACGTTTGGAGGGCTTTGTGGTTTGTGGTGGAAAAGGAAATATCTTCACCTAAATACTAGATAGAAGCATTCTCAGAAGCTTCTCTGTGATGACTGCATTCAACTCACGGAGTTGAACACTCCTTTTGAGAGCGCAGTTTTGAAACTCTCTTTCTGTGGCATCTGCAAGGGGACATGTAGACCTCTTTGAAGATTTCGTTGGAAACGGAATTCATCTTCACATAAAAACTATACAGAAGCAGTCTCAGAATCTTCTTTGTGATGTTTGCATTCAAATCCCAGAGTTGAACTTTCCTTTCAAAGTTCACGTTTGAAACACTCTTTTTGCAGGATCTACAAGTGGATATTTGGACCACTCTGTGTCCTTCGTTCGAAACGGGTATATCTTCACATGACATCTAGACTGAAGCTTTCTCAGAAAATTCTTTGGGATGTTTGAGTTGAACTCACAGAGCTGAACATTTCTTGCGATGGAGCAGTTTAGAAACACACTTTCTGCAGAATCTGCAATTGCATATTTGGACCTCTCTGAGGAATTCGTTGGAAACGGGATAATTTCAGCTGACTAAACAGAAGCATTCTCAGAACCTTCTTCGTGATGTCTGCATTCAACTCACAGTGTGGAACCTTTCTTTGATAGTTCAGGTTTGAAACACTCTTTTTGTAGAAACTGCAAGGGGATAATTGCACTTCTTTGAGGCCTACCGTAGTAAAGGAAATAACTTCCTATAAAAAGAAGACAGAAACATTCTCAGAACCCTCTTCGTGATGTTTGCATTCAATTCACGGTGCTGAAACTTTCTTTGATAGTTCAGCTTTGAAACACTCTTTTTGTAGAAACTGCAAGTGGATATTTGGTCCTCTCTGAGGATTTCGTTGGAAACGGGATAAACCGCACAGAACTATACAGAAGCATTCTCAGAACCTTCTTCGTGATGTTTGCATTCAACTCACAGTGTTGAACCTTTCTTTGATAGTTCAGGTTGGAAACGGTCTTTATGTAGAAACTGCAAGTAGATATTTGGACCTGCTCTGAGGATTTCGTTGGAAACGGGATAAACCGCACAGAACTAAAACAGAAGCATTCACAGAAAACTCTTGGTGACGAATGAGTTTAACTCACAGAGCTGAACATTCCTTTGGATGGAGCAGTTTCGAAACACACTATTTGTAGAATCTGCAAGTGGATATTTGGGCCTCTGCTGAGGATTTCGTTGGAAACGGGATAAACCGCACAGAACTAAAGAGAAGCATTCTCAGAAACTACTTTGTGATGATTGCATTCAAGTCACAGAGTTGAACATTCCCTTTGACAGAGCAGTTTGGAAACTCTCTTTGTGTAGAATCTGCAAGTGGAGATATGGACCGCTTTGAGGCCTATGGTAGTAAAGGAAATAGCTTCATATAAAAGCTAGACAGTAGCATTCTCAGAAACTTCTTTGTGATGCTTGCATTCAACTCACAGAGTTGAACTTTCCTTTCGAGAGAGAAGCTTTGAAACACTCTTTTTCCAGAATCTGCAAGTGGACATTTGGAGGGCTTTGAGGCCTGTGGTGGAAAAGGAATTATCTTCCCGTAAAAGCTAGATAGAAGCATTGTCAGAAACTTCTTTGTGATGATTGCATTCAACTCACAGAGATGAAGGTTCCTTTACAAACAGCAGTTTCCAAACACTCTTTCTGTGGAATCTGCAAGTGGATATTTGGACCTCTTTGAAGATTTCGTTGGAAACGGGAGAATCTTCACAGAAAAGCTAAACAGAAGCATTCTCAGAAACTTCTCTGTGATGTTTGTGTTCAACTCCCAGAGTTTCACATTGCTTTTCATAGAGTAGTTCTGAAACATGCTTTTCGTAGTGTCTGCAAGTGGACATTTGGAGTGCTTTCAGGCCTGTGGTGGAAAACGAATTATGGTCCCATAAAAACTGGAGAGAAGCCTTCTCAGAAACTTCTCTGTGATGATTGCATTCAACTCACAGATTTGAACCCTCCTATGGATAGAGCATTCTTGAAACTCTCTTTTTGTGGAATCTGCAAGTGGATATGTGGACCTCTCCGAAGATGTCTTTGGAAACGGGAATATCTTCACATAAAAACTAAACAGAAGCATTCTCAGAAACTTCTTGGTGATGTTTGCATTCAAATCCCAGAGTTGAACCTTCCTGTGATAGTTCAGGTTTGAAACACTCTTTTTGTAGGATCTGCAAGTGGATATTTGGACCACTCTGTGGCCTTCGTTCGAAACGGGTACATCTTCACATAAAATCTAGACAGAAGCATTCTCAGAAAATACTTTGTGATGATTGAGTTTAAATCACAGAGCTGACCATTCCTTTGGATGGAGCAGGTTTGAGACACACTTTTTGTAGAATCTACAAGTGGATATTTGGACCTCTCTGAGGATTTCGTTGGAAACGGGATAACTGCACCTAACTAAACGGAAGCATTCTCAGAAACTGCTTTGTGATGATTGCATTCACCTCACAGAGTTGAACATTCGTATTGATAGAGCAGTTTGGAAACACTCTTCTTGTGGAATGTGCAAGTGGAGATTTGGAGCGCTTTGGGGCCTATGGTAGTAAAGGGAATAGCTTCATAGAAAAACTAGACAGATGCATTCTCAGGAACTTTTTGGTGATGTTTGTATTCAACTCCCAGAGTTGAACTTTCCTTTGGAAAGAGCAGCTATGAAACACTCTTTTTCTAGAATCTGCAAGTGGACGTTTGGAGGGCTTTGTGGTTTGTGGTGGAAAAGGAAATATCTTCACCTAAATACTAGATAGAAGCATCCTCAGAAGCTTCTCTGTGATGACTGCATTCAACTCACGGAGTTGAACACTCCTTTTGAGAGCGCAGTTTTGAAACTCTCTTTCTGTGGCATCTGCAAGGGGACATGTAGACCTCTTTGAAGATTTCGTTGGAAACGGAATCATCTTCACATAAAAACTACACAGAAGCAGTCTCAGAATCTTCTTTGTGATGTTTGCATTCAAATCCCCGAGTTGAACTTTCCTTTCAAAGTTCACGTTTGAAACACTCTTTTTGCAGGATCTACAAGTGGATATTTGGACCACTCTGTGTCCTTCGATCGAAACGGGTATATCTTCACATGACATCTAGACAGAAGCTTTCTCAGAAAATTCTTTGGGATGATTGAGTTGAACTCACAGAGCTGAGCATTCCTTGCGATGTAGCAGTTTAGAAACACACTTTCTGCAGAATCTGCAAGTGCATATTTGGACCTCTGTGAGGAATTCGTTGGAAACGGGATAATTTCAGCTGACTAAACAGAAGCATTCTCAGAACCTTCTTCGTGATGTCTGCATTCAACTCACAGTGTGGAACCTTTCTTTGATAGTTCAGGTTTGAAACACTCTTTTTGTAGAAACTGCAAGGGGATAATTGCACTCTTTGAGGAGTACCGTAGTAAAGGAAATAACTTCCTATAAAAAGAAGACAGAAGCATTCTCAGAACCCTCTTCGTGATGTTTGCATTGAACTCACAGTGCTGAACCTTTCTTTGATAGTTCAGCTTTGAAACACTCTTTTTGTAGAAACTGCAAGTGGATATTTGGTCCTCTCTGAGGATTTCGTTGGAAAAGGGATAAAACGCACAGAACTAAACAGAAGCATTCTCAGAACCTTCTTCGTGATGTTTGCATTCAACTCACAGTGTTGAACCTTTCTTTGATAGTTCAGGTTGGAAACGGTCTTTCTGTAGAAACTGCAAGTAGATATTTGGACCTCTCTGAGGATTTCGTTGGAAACGGGATAAACCGCACAGAACTAAAACAGAAGCATTCACAGAAAACTCTTGGTGACGACTGAGTTTAACTCACAGAGCTGAACATTCCTTTGGATGGAGCAGTTTCGAAACACACTATTTGTAGAATGTGCAAGTGGATATGTGGGCCTCTCTGAGGATTTCGTTGGAAACGGGATAAACCGCACAGAACTAAACAGAAGCATTCTCAGAAACTACTTTGTGATGATTGCATTCAAGTCACAGAGTTGAACATTCCCTTTGACAGAGCAGTTTGGAAACTCTCTTTGTGTAGAATCTGCAAGTGGAGATATGGACCGCTTTGAGGCCTATGGTAGTAAAGGAAATAGCTTCATATAAAAGCTAGACAGTAGCATTCTCAGAAACTTCTTTGTGATGCTTGCATTCAACTCACAGAGTTGAACTTTCCTTTCGAGAGAGAAGCTTTGAAACACTCTTTTTCCAGAATCTGCAAGTGGACATTTGGAGGGCTTTGAGGCCTGTGGTGGAAAAGGAATTATCTTCCCTTAAAAGCTAGATAGAAGCATTGTCAGAAACTTCTTTGTGATGATTGCATTCAACTCACAGAGTTGAAGGTTCCTTTTCAAACAGCAGTTTCCAATCACTCTTTCTGTGGAATCTGCAAGTGGATATTTGGGCCTCTCTGAGGATTTCGTTGGAAACGGGATAAAACGCACAGAACTAAAACAGAAGCATTCTCAGAAACTTCTCTGTGATGTTTGTGTTCAACTCCCAGAGTTTCACGTTGCTTTTCATAGAGTAGTTCTGAAACATGCTTTTCGTAGTGTCTGCAAGTGGACATTTGGAGCGCTTTCAGGCCTGTGGTGGAAAACGAATTATGGTCACATAAAAACTGGAGAGAAGCCTTCTCAGAAACTTCTCTGTGATGATTGCATTCAACTCACAGAGTTGAACCCTCCTATGGATAGAGCAGTGTTGAAACTCTCTTTTTGTGGAATCTGCAAGTGGATATGTGGACCTCTCCGAAGATGTCTTTGGAAACGGGAATATCTTCACATAAAAACTAAACAGAAGCATTCTCAGAAACTTCTTGGTGATGTTTGCATTCAAATCCCAGAGTTGAACCTTCCTTTGATAGTTCAGGTTTGAAACACTCTTTTTGTAGGATCTGCAAGTGGCTATTTGGACCACTCTGTGGCCTTCGTTCGAAACGGGTACATCTTCGCATAAAATCTAGACAGAAGCATTCTCAGAAAATACTTTGTGATGATTGAGTTTAACTCACAGAGCTGAACATTCCTTTGGATGGAGCAGGCTTGAGACACACTTTTTGTAGAATCCACAAGTGGATATTTGGACCTCTCTGAGGATTTCGTTGGAAACGGGATAACTGCACCGAACTAAACGGAAGCATTCTCAGAAACTGCTTTGTGATGATTGCATTCACCTCACAGAGTTGAACATTCCTATTGATAGAGCAGTTTGGAAACACTCTTGTTGTGGAATGTGCAAGTGGAGATTTGGAGCGCTTTGAGGCCTATGGTAGTAAAGGGAATAGCTTCATAGAAAAACTAGACAGATGCATTCTCAGGAACTTTTTGGTGATGTTTGTATTCAACTCCCAGAGTTGAACTTTCCTTTGGAAAGAGCAGCTATGAAACACTGTTTTTCTAGAATCTGCAAGTGGAAGTTTGGAGGGCTTTGTGGTTTGTGGTGGAAAAGGAAATATCTTCACCTAAATACTAGATAGAAGCATTCTCAGAAGCTTCTCTGTGATGACTGCATTCAACTCACGGAGTTGAACACTCCTTTTGAGAGCGCAGTTTTGAAACTCTCTTTCTGTGGCATCTGCAAGGGGACATGTAGACCTCTTTGAAGATTTCGTTGGAAACGGAATCATCTTCACATAAAAACTATACAGAAGCAGTCTCAGAATCTTCTTTGTGATGTTTGCATTCAAATCCCAGAGTTGAACTTTCCTTTCAAAGTTCACGTTTGAAACACTCTCTTTGCAGGATCTACAAGTGGATATTTGGACCACTCTGTGTCCTTCGTTCGAAACGGGTATATCTTCACATGACATCTAGACAGAAGCTTTCTCAGAAAATTCTTTGGGATGATTGAGTTGAACTCACAGAGCTGAGCATTCCTTGCGATGTAGCAGTTTAGAAACACACTTTCTGCAGAATCTGCAAGTGCATATTTGGACCTCTGTGAGGAATTCGTTGGAAACGGGATAATTTCAGCTGACTAAACAGAAGCATTCTCAGAACCTTCTTCGTGATGTCTGCATTCAACTCACAGTGTGGAACCTTTCTTTGATAGTTCAGGTTTGAAACACTCTTTTTGTAGAAACTGCAAGGGGATAATTGCACTTCTTTGAGGCCTACCGTAGTAAAGGAAATAACTTCCTATAGAAAGAAGACAGAAGCATTCTCAGAACCTTCTTCGTGATGTTTGCATTCAACTCACAGTGCTGAACCTTTCTTTGATAGTTCAGCTTTGAAACACTCCTTTTGTAGAAACTGCAAGTGGATATTTGGACCTCTCTGAGGATTTCGTTGGAAACGGGATAAACCGCACAGAACTAAAACAGAAGCATTCACAGTAAAACTCTTGGTGACGACTGAGTTTAACTCACAGAGCTGAACATTCCTTTGGATGGAGCAGTTTCGAAACACACTATTTGTAGAATGTGCAAGTGGATATGTGGGCCTCTCTGAGGATTTCGTTGGAAACGGGATAAACCGCACAGAACTAAACAGAAGCATTCTCAGAAACTACTTTGTGATGATTGCATTCAAGTCACAGAGTTGAACATTCCCTTTGACAGAGCAGTTTGGAAACTCTCTTTGTGTAGAATCTGCAAGTGGAGATATGGACCGCTTTGAGGCCTATGGTAGTAAAGGAAATAGCTTCATATAAAAGCTAGACAGTAGCATTCTCAGAAACTTCTTTGTGATGCTTGCATTCAACTCACAGAGTTGAACTTTCCTTTCGAGAGAGAAGCTTTGAAACACTCTTTTTCCAGAATCTGCAAGTGGACATTTGGAGGGCTTTGAGGCCTGTGGTGGAAAAGGAATTATCTTCCCGTAAAAGCTAGATAGAAGCATTGTCAGAAACTTCTTTGTGATGATTGCATTCAACTCACAGAGTTGAAGGTTCCTTTTCAAACAGCAGTTTCCAATCACTCTTTCTGTGGAATCTGCAAGTGGATATTTGGGCCTCTCTGAGGATTTCGTTGGAAACGGGATAAAACGCACAGAACTAAAACAGAAGCATTCTCAGAAACTTCTCTGTGATGTTTGTGTTCAACTCCCAGAGTTTCACGTTGCTTTTCATAGAGTAGTTCTGAAACATGCTTTTCGTAGTGTCTGCAAGTGGACATTTGGAGCGCTTTCAGGCCTGTGGTGGAAAACGAATTATGGTCACATAAAAACTGGAGAGAAGCCTTCTCAGAAACTTCTCTGTGATGATTGCATTCAACTCACAGAGTTGAACCCTCCTATGGATAGAGCAGTGTTGAAACTCTCTTTTTGTGGAATCTGCAAGTGGATATGTGGACCTCTCCGAAGATGTCTTTGGAAACGGGAATATCTTCACATAAAAACTAAACAGAAGCATTCTCAGAAACTTCTTGGTGATGTTTGCATTCAAATCCCAGAGTTGAACCTTCCTTTGATAGTTCAGGTTTGAAACACTCTATTTGTAGGATCTGCAAGTGGATATTTGGACCACTCTGTGGCCTTCTTTCGAAACGGGTACATCTTCGCATAAAATCTAGACAGAAGCATTCTCAGAAAATACTTTGTGATGATTGAGTGTAACTCACAGAGCTGAACATTCCGTTGGATGGAGCAGGTTTGAGACACACTTTTTGTAGAATCTACAAGTGGATATTTGGACCTCTCTGAGGATTTCGTTGGAAACGGGATAACTGCACCTAACTAAACGGAAGCATTCTCAGAAACTGCTTTGTGATGATTGCATTCACCTCACAGAGTTGAACATTCCTATTGATAGAGCAGTTTGGAAACACTCTTGTTGTGGAATGTGCAAGTGGAGATTTGGAGCGCTTTGAGGCCTATGGTAGTAAAGGGAATAGCTTCATAGAAAAACTAGACAGATGCATTCTCAGGAACTTTTTGGTGATGTTTGTATTCAACTCCCAGAGTTGAACTTTCCTTTGGAAAGAGCAGCTATGAAACACTCTTTTTCTAGAATCTGCAAGTGGACGTTTGGAGGGCTTTGTGGTTTGTGGTGGAAAAGGAAATATCTTCACCTAAATACTAGAAAGAAGCATTCTCAGATGCTTCTCTGTGATGACTGCATTCAACTCACGGAGTTGAACACTCCTTTTGAGAGCGCAGTTTTGGAACTCTCTTTCTGTGGCATCTGCAAGGGGACATGTAGACCTCTTTGAAGATTTCGTTGGAAACGGAATCATCTTCACATAAAAACTATACAGAAGCAGTCTCAGAATCTTCTTTGTGATGTTTGCATTCAAATCCCAGAGTTGAACTTTCCTTTCAAAGTTCACGTTTGAAACACTCTTTTTGCAGGATCTACAAGTGGATATTTGGACCACTCTGTGTCCTTCGTTCGAAACGGGTATATCTTCACACGACATCTAGACAGAAGCTTTCTCAGAAAATTCTTTGGGATGATTGAGTGGAACTCACAGAGCTGAACATTCCTTGCGATGTAGCAGTTTAGAAACACACTTTCTGCAGAATCTGCAAGTGCATATTTGGACCTCTCTGAGGAATTCGTTGGAAACGGGATAATTTCAGCTGACTAAACAGAAGCATTCTCAGAACCTTCTTCGTGATGTCTGCATTCAACTCACAGTGTGGAACCTTTCTTTGATAGTTCAGGTTTGAAACACTCTTTTTGTAGAAACTGCAAGGGGATAATTGCACTTCTTTGAGGCCTACCGTAGTAAAGGAAATAACTTCCTATAGAAAGAAGACAGAAGAATTCTCAGAGCCCTCTTCGTGATGTTTGCATTCAACTCACAGTGCTGAACCTTTCTTTGATAGTGCAGCTTTGAAACACTCTTTTTGTAGAAACTGCAAGTGGATGTTTGGTCCTCTCTGAGGATTTCGTTGGAAACGGGATAAACCGCACAGAACTAAAACAGAAGCATTCTCAGAACCTTCTTCGTGATGTTTGCATTCAACTCACAGTGTTGAACCTTTCTTTGATAGTTCAGGTTTGAAACGGTCTTTCTGCAGAAACTGCAAGTAGATATTTGGACCTCTCTGAGGATTTCGTTGGAAACGGGATACCCCGCACAGAACTAAAACAGAAGCATTCACAGAAAACTCTTGGTGACGACTGAGTTTAACTCACAGAGCTGAACATTCCTTTGGATGGAGCAGTTTCGAAACACACTATTTGTAGAATGTGCAAGTGGATATTTAGGCCTCTCTGAGGATTTCGTTGGAAACGGGATAAACCGCACAGAACTAAACAGAAGCATTCTCAGAAACTACTTTGTGATGATTGCATTCAAGTCACAGAGTTGAACATTCCCTTTGACAGAGCAGTTTGGAAACTCTCTTTGTGTAGAATCTGCAAGTGGAGATATGGACCGCTTTGAGGCCTATGGTAGTAAAGGAAATAGCTTCATATAAAAGCTAGACAGTAGCATTCTCAGAAACTTCTTTGTGATGCTTGCATTCAACTCACAGATTTGAACTTTCCTTTCGAGAGAGAAGCTTTGAAACACTCTTTTTCCAGAATCTGCAAGTGGACATTTGGAGGGCTTTGAGGCCTGTGGTGGAAAAGGAATTATCTTCCGTAAAAGCTAGATAGAAGCATTGTCAGAAACTTCTTTGTGATGATTGCATTCAACTCACAGAGTTGAAGGTTCCTTTTCAAAGAGCAGTTTCCAATCACTCTTTGTGTGGAATCTGCAAGTGGATATTTGGACCTATTTTGAAGATTTCGTTGGAAACGGGAGAATCTTCACAGGAAAGCTAAACAGAAGCATTCTCAGAAACTTCTCTGTGATGTTTGTGTTCAACTCCCAGAGTTTCACATTGCTTTTCATAGAGTAGTTCTGAAACATGCTTTTCGTAGTGTCTACAAGTGGACATTTGGAGCGCTTTCAGGCCTGTGGTGGAAAACGAATTATGGTCACATAAAAACTGGAGAGAAGCCTTCTCAGAAACTTCTCTGTGATGATTGCATTCAACTCACAGAGTTGAACCCTCCTATGGATAGAGCAGTGTTGAAACTCTCTTTTTGTGGAATCTGCAAGTGGATATGTGGACCTCTCCGAAGATGTCTTTGGAAACGGGAATATCTTCACATAAAAACTAAACAGAAGCATTCTCAGAAACTTCTTGGTGATGTTTGCATTCAAATCCCAGAGTTGAACCTTCCTTTGATAGTTCAGGTTTGAAACACTCTTTTTGTAGGATCTGCAAGTGGATATTTGGACCACTCTGTGGCCTTCGTTCGAAACGGGTATATCTTCGCATAAAATCTAGACAGAAGCATTCTCAGAAAATACTTTGTGATGATTGAGTTTAAATCACAGAGCTGACCATTCCTTTGGATGGAGCAGGTTTGAGACACACTTTTTGTAGAATCTACAAGTGGATATTTGGACCTCTCTGAGGATTTCGTTGGAAACGGGATAACTGCACCTAACTAAACGGAAGCATTCTCAGAAACTGCTTTGTGATGATTGCATTCACCTCACAGAGTTGAACATTCCTATTGATAGAGCAGTTTGGAAACACTCTTGTTGTGGAATGTGCAAGTGGAGATTTGGAGCGCTTTGAGGCCTATGGTAGTAAAGGGAATAGCTTCATAGAAAAACTAGACAGATGCATTCTCAGGAACTTTTTGGTGATGTTTGTATTCAACTCCCAGAGTTGAACTTTCCTTTGGAAAGAGCAGCTATGAAACACTCTTTTTCTAGAATCTGCAAGTGGACGTTTGGAGGGCTTTGTGGTTTGTGGTGGAAAAGGAAATATCTTCACCTAAATACTAGATAGAAGCATTCTCAGAAGCTTCTCTGTGATGACTGCATTCAACTCACGGAGTTGAACACTCCTTTTGAGAGCGCAGTTTTGAAACTCTCTTTCTGTGGCATCCGCAAGGGGACATGTAGAACTCTTTGAAGATTTCGTTGGAAACGGAATCATCTTCACATCAGAACTATACAGAAGCAGTCTCAGAATCTTCTTTGTGATGTTTGCATTCAAATCCCAGAGTTGAACTTTCCTTTCAAAGTTCACGTTTGAAACACTCTTTTTGCAGGATCTACAAGTGGATATTTGGACCACTCTGTGTCCTTCGTTCGAAACGGGTATATCTTCACATGACATCTAGACAGAAGCTTTCTCAGAAAATTCTTTGGGATGATTGAGTGGAACTCACAGAGCTGAACATTCCTTGCGATGTAGCAGTTTAGAAACACACTTTCTGCAGAATCTGCAAGTGCATATTTGGACCTCTCTGAGGAATTCGTTGGAAACGGGATAATTTCAGCTGACTAAACAGAAGCATTCTCAGAACCTTCTTCGTGATGTCTGCATTCAACTCACAGTGTGGAACCTTTCTTTGATAGTTCAGGTTTGAAACACTCTTTTTGTAGAAACTGCAAGGGGATAATTGCACTTCTTTGAGGCCTACCGTAGTAAAGGAAATAACTTCCTATAGAAAGAAGACAGAAGCATTCTCAGAACCTTCTTCGTGATGTCTGCATTCAACTCACGGTGCTGAACCTTTCTTTGATAGTTCAGCTTTGAAACACTCTTTTTGTAGAAACTGCAAGTGGATATTTGGTCCTCTCTGAGGATTTCGTTGGAAACGGGATAAACCGCACAGAACTAAACAGAAGAATTCTCAGAGCCCTCTTCGTGATGTTTGCATTCAACTCACAGTGCTGAACCTTTCTTTGATAGTGCAGCTTTGAAACACTCTTTTTGTAGAAACTGCAAGTGGATATTTGGTCCTCTCTGAGGATTTCGTTGGAAACGGGATAAACCGCACAGAAATAAAACAGAAGCATTCTCAGAACCTTCTTCGTGATGTTTGCATTCAACTCACAGTGTTGAACCTTTCTTTGATAGTTCAGGTTTGAAACGGTCTTTCTGTGGAAACTGCAAGTAGATATTTGGACCTCTCTGAGGATTTCGTTGGAAACGGGATAAACCGCACAGAACAAAAACAGAAGCATTCACAGAAAACTCTTGGTGACGACTGAGTTTAACTCACAGAGCTGAACATTCCTTTGGATGGAGCAGTTTCGAAACACACTATTTCTAGAAGGTGCAAGTGGATATGTGGGCCTCTCTGAGGATTTCGTTGGAAACGGGATAAACCGCACAGAACTAAACAGAAGCATTCTCAGAAACTACTTTGTTATGATTGCATTCAAGTCACAGAGTTGAACATTCCCTTTGACAGAGCAGTTTGGAAACTCTCTTTGTGTAGAATCTGCAAGTGGAGATATGGACCGCTTTGAGGCCTATGGTAGTAAAGGAAATAGCTTCATATAAAAGCTAGACAGTAGCATTCTCAGAAACTTCTTTGTGATGCTTGCATTCAACTCACAGAGTTGAACTATCCTTTCGAGAGAGAAGCTTTGAAATACTCTTTTTCCAGAATCTGCAAGTGGACATTTGGAGGGCTTTGAGGCCTGTGGTGGAAAAGGAATTATCTTCCTGTAAAAGCTAGATAGAAGCATTGTCAGAAACTTCTTTGTGATGATTGCATTCAACTCACAGAGTTGAAGGTTCCTTTTCAAAGAGCAGTTTCCAATCACTCTTTCTGTGGAATCTGCAAGTGGATATTTGGACCTCTTTGAAGATTTCGTTGGAAACGGGAGAATCTTCACAGAAAAGCTAAACAGAAGCATTCTCAGAAACTTCTCTGTGATGTTTGTGTTCAACTCCCAGAGTTTCACGTTGCTTTTCATAGAGTAGTTCTGAAACATGCTTTTCGTAGTGTCTGCAAGTGGACATTTGGAGCGCTTTCAGGCCTGTGGTGGAAAACGAATTATGGTCACATAAAAACTGGAGAGAAGCCTTCTCAGAAACTTCTCTGTGATGATTGCATTCAACTCACAGAGTTGAACCCTCCTATGGATAGAGCAGTGTTGAAACTCTCTTTTTGTGGAATCTGCAAGTGGATATGTGGACCTCTCCGAAGATGTCTTTGGAAACGGGAATATCTTCACATAAAAACTAAACAGAAGCAGTCTCAGAATCTTCTTTGTGATGTTTGCATTCAAATCCCAGAGTTGAACCTTCCTTTGATAGTTCAGGTTTGAAACACTCTTTTTGTAGGATCTGCAAGTGGATATTTGGACCACTCTGTGTCCTTCGTTCGAAACGGGTACATCTTCGCATAAAATCTAGACAGAAGCATTCTCAGAAAATACTTTGTGATGATTGAGTTGAACTCACAGAGCTGAACATTCCTTTGGATGGAGCAGGTTTGAGACACACTTTTTGTAGAATCTACAAGTGGATATTTGGACCTCTCTGAGGATTTCGTTGGAAACGGGATAACTGCACCTAACTAAACAGAAGCATTCTCAGAAACTGCTTTGTGATGATTGCATTCACCTCACAGAGTTGACCATTCCTATTGATAGAGCAGTTTGGAAACACTCTTGTTGTGGAATGTGCAAGTGGAGATTTGGAGCGCTTTGAGGCCTATGGTAGTAAAGGGAATAGCTTCATAGAAAAACTAGACAGATGCATTCTCAGGAACCTTTTGGTGATGTTTGTATTCAACTCCCAGAGTTGAACTTTCCTTTGGAAAGAGCAGCTATGAAACACTCTTTTTCTAGAATCTGCAAGTGGACGTTTGGAGGGCTTTGTGGTTTGTGGTGGAAAAGGAAATATCTTCACCTAAATACTAGATAGAAGCATTCTCAGAAGCTTCTCTGTGATGACTGCATTCAACTCACGGAGTTGAACACTCCTTTTGAGAGCGCAGTTTTGAAACTCTCTTTCTGTGGCATCTGCAAGGGGACATGTAGACCTCTTTGAAGATTTCGTTGGAAACGGAATCATCTTCACATAAAAACTATACAGAAGCAGTCTCAGAATCTTCTTTGTGATGTTTGCATTCATATCCCAGAGTTGAACTTTCCTTTCAAAGTTCACGTTTGAAACACTCTTTTTGCAGGATCTACAAGTGGATATTTGGACCACTCTGTGTCCTTCGTTCGAAACGGGTATATCTTCACATGACATCTAGACAGAAGCTTTCTCAGAAAATTCTTTGGGATGATTGAGTGGAACTCACAGAGCTGAACATTCCTTGCGATGTAGCAGTTTAGAAACACACTTTCTGCAGAATCTGCAAGTGCATATGTGGACCTCTCTGAGGAATTCGTTGGAAACGGGATAATTTCAGCTGACTAAACAGAAGCATTCTCAGAACCTTCTTCGTGATGTCTGCATTCAACTCACAGTGTGGAACCTTTCTTTGATAGTTCAGGTTTGAAACACTCTTTTTGTAGAAACTGCAAGGGGATCATTGCACTTCTTTGAGGCCTACCGTAGTAAAGGAAATAACTTCCTATAAAAAGAAGACAGAAGCATTCTCAGAACCCTCTTCGTGATGTTTGCATTCAACTCACAGTGCTGAACCTTTCTTTGATAGTTCAGCTTTGAAACACTCTTTTTGTAGAAACTGCAAGTGGATATTTGGTCCTCTCTGAGGATTTCGTTGGAAACGGGATAAACCGCACAGAACTAAACAGAAGCATTCTCAGAACCTTCTTCGTGATGTTTGCATTCAACTCACAGTGTTGAACCTTTCTTTGATAGTTCAGGTTTGAAACGGTCTTTCTGTAGAAACTGCAAGTAGATATTTGGACCGCTCTGAGGATTTCGTTGGAAACGGGATAACCCGCACAGAACTAAAACAGAAGCATTCACAGAAAACTCTTGGTGACGACTGAGTTTAACTCACAGAGCTGAACATTCCTTTGGATGGAGCAGTTTCGAAACACACTATTTGTAGAATGTGCAAGTGGATATTTAGGCCTCTCTGAGGATTTCGTTGGAAACGGGATAAACCGCACAGAACTAAACAGAAGCATTCTCAGAAACTACTTTGTGATGATTGCATTCAAGTCACAGAGTTGAACATTCCCTTTGACAGAGCAGTTTGGAAACTCTCTTTGTGTAGAATCTGCAAGTGGAGATATGGACCGCTTTGAGGCCTATGGTAGTAAAGGAAATAGCTTCATATAAAAGCTAGACAGTAGCATTCTCAGAAACTTCTTTGTGATGCTTGCATTCAACTCACAGAGTTGAACTTTCCTTTCGAGAGAGAAGCTTTGAAACACTCTTTTTCCAGAATGTGCAAGTGGACATTTGGGGAGCTTTGAGGCCTGGGGTGGAAAAGGAATTATCTTCCCGTAAAAGCTAGATAGAAGCATTGTCAGAAACTTCTTTGTGATGATTGCATTCAACTGACAGAGTTGAAGGTTGCTTTTCAAACAGCAGTTTCCAAACACTCTTTCTGTGGAATCTGCAAGTGGATATTTGGACCTCTTTGAAGATTTCGTTGGAAACGGGATAACCTTCACAGAAAAGCTAAACAGAAGCATTCTCAGAAACTTCTCTGTGATGTTTGTGTTCAACTCCCAGAGTTTCACGTTGCTTTTCATAGAGTAGTTCTGAAACATGCTTTTCGTAGTGTCTGCAAGTGGACATTTGGAGCGCTTTCAGGCCTGTGGTGGAAAACGAATTATGGTCACATAAAAACTGGAGAGAAGCCTTCTCAGAAACTTCTCTGTGATGATTGCATTCAACTCACAGAGTTGAACCCTCCTATGGATAGAGCAGTGTTGAAACTCTCTTTTTGTGGAATCTGCAAGTGGATATGTGGACCTCTCCGAAGATGTCTTTGGAAACGGGAATATCTTCACATAAAAACTAAACAGAAGCATTCTCAGAAACTTCTTGGTGATGTTTGCATTCAAATCCCAGAGTTGAACCTTCCTTTGATAGTTCAGGTTTGAAACACTCTTTTTGTAGGATCTGCAAGTGGCTATTTGGACCACTCAGTGGCCTTCGTTCGAGACGGGTATATCTTCGCATAAAATCTAGACAGAAGCATTCTCAGAAAATACTTTGTGATGATTGAGTTTAAATCACAGAGCTGACCATTCCTTTGGATGGAGCAGGTTTGAGACACACTTTTTGTAGAATCTACAAGTGGATATTTGGACCTCTCTGAGGATTTCGTTGGAAACGGGATAACTGCACCTAACTAAACGGAAGCATTCTCAGAAACTGCTTTGTGATGATTGCATTCACCTCACAGAGTTGAACATTCCTATTGATAGAGGCAGTTTGGAAACACTCTTGTTGTGGAATGTGCAAGTGGAGATTTGGAGCGCTTTGAGGCCTATGGTAGTAAAGGGAATAGCTTCATAGAAAAACTAGACAGATGCATTCTCAGGAACTTTTTGGTGATGTTTGTATTCAACTCCCAGAGTTGAACTTTCCTTTGGAAAGAGCAGCTATGAAACACTCTTTTTCTAGAATCTGCAAGTGGACAGTTTGGAGGGCTTTGTGGTTTGTGGTGGAAAAGGAAATATCTTCACCTAAATACTAGATAGAAGCATTCTCAGAAGCTTCTCTGTGATGACTGCATTCAACTCACGGAGTTGAACACTCCTTTTGAGAGCGCAGTTTTGAAACTCTCTTTCTGTGGCATCTGCAAGGGGACATGTAGAACTCTTTGAAGATTTCGTTGGAAACGGAATCATCCTCACATCAAAACTATACAGAAGCAGTCTCAGAATCTTCTTTGTGATGTTTGCATTCAAATCCCAGAGTTGAACTTTCCTTTCAAAGTTCACGTTTGAAACACTCTTTTTGCAGGATCTACAAGTGGATATTTGGACCACTCTGTGTCCTTCGTTCGAAACGGGTATATCTTCACACGACATCTAGACAGAAGCTTTCTCAGAAAATTCTTTGGGATGATTGAGTTGAACTCACAGAGCTGAACATTCCTTGCGATGGAGCAGTTTAGAAACACACTTTCTGCAGAATCTGCAAGTGCATATTTGGACCTCTTTGAGGAATTCGTTGGAAACGGGATAATTTCAGCTGACTAAACAGAAGCATTCTCAGGAACCTTCTTCGTGATGTCTGCATTCAACTCACAGTGTGGAACCTTTCTTTGATAGTTCAGGTTTGAAACACTCTTTTTGTAGAGACTGCAAGGGGATAATTGCACTTCTTTGAGGCCTACCGTAGTAAAGGAAATAACTTCCTATAAAAAGAAGACAGAAGCATTCTCAGAACCCTCTTCGTGATGTTTGCATTCAACTCACAGTGCTGAACCTTTCTTTGATAGTTCAGCTTTGAAACACTCTTCTTGTAGAAACTGCAAGTGGATATTTGGTCCTCTCTGAGGATTTCGTTGGAAACGGGATAAACCGCACAGAACTAAACAGAAGCATCCTCAGAACCTTCTTCGTGATGTTTGCATTCAACTCACAGTGCTGAACCTTTCTTTGATAGTTCAGCTTTGAAACACTCTTTTTGTAGAAACTGCAAGTGGATATTTGGACCTCTCTGAGGATTTCGTTGGAAACGGGATAAACCGCACAGAACTAAAACAGAAGCATTCACAGAAAACACTTGGTGACGACTGCGTTTAACTCACAGAGCTGAAAATCCCTTTGGATGGAGCAGTTTCGAAAAACACTATTTGTAGAATGTGCAAGTGGATATTTGGGCCTCTCTGAGGATTTCGTTGGAAACGGGATAAACCACACAGAACTAAACAGAAGCATTCTCAGAAACTACTTTGTGATGATTGCATTCAAGTCACAGAGCTGAACATTCCCTTTGACGGAGCAGTTTGGAAACTCTCTTTGTGTAGAATCTGCAAGTGGAGATATGGAATGCTTTGAGGACTATGGTAGTAAAGGAAATAGCTTCATATAAAAGCTAGACAGTAGCATTCTCAGAAACTTCTTTGTGATGCTTGCATTCAACTCACAGAGTTGAACTTTCCTTTCGAGAGAGAAGCTTTGAAACACTCTTTTTCCAGAATCTGCAAGTGGACATTTGGAGGGCTTTGAGGCCTGTGGTGGAAAAGGAATTAACTTCCCGTAAAAGCTAGATAGAAGCATTGTCAGAAACTTCTTTGTGATGATTGCATTCAACTCACAGAGTTGAAGGTTCCTTTTCAAACAGCAGTTTCCAATCACTCTTTCTGTGGAATCTGCAAGTGGATATTTGGACCTCTTTGAAGATTTCGTTGGAAACGGGAGAATCTTCACAGAAAAGCTAAACAGAAGCATTCTCAGAAACTTCTCTGTGATGTTTGTGTTTAACTCCCAGAGTTTCACATTGCTTTTCATAGAGTAGTTCTGAAACATGCTTTTCGTAGTGTCTGCAAGTGGACATTTGGAGCGCTTTCAGGTCTGTGGTGGAAAACGAATTATGGTCACATAAAAACTGGAGAGAAGCCTTCTCAGAAACTTCTCTGTGATGATTGCATTCAACTCACAGAGTTGAACCCTCCTATGGATAGAGCAGTGTTGAAACTCTCTTTTTGTGGAATCTGCAAGTGGATATGTGGACCTCTCCGAAGATGTCTTTGGAAACGGGAATATCTTCACATAAAAACTAAACAGAAGCATTCTCAGAAACTTCTTGGTGATGTTTGAATTCAAATCCCAGAGTTGAACCTTCCTTTGATAGTTCAGGTTTGAAACACTCTTTTTGTAGGATCTGCAAGTGGCTATTTGGACCACTCTGTGGCCTTCATTCGAAACGGGTATATCTTCGCATAAAATCTAGACAGAAGCATTCTCAGAAAATACTTTGTGATGATTGAGTTTAACTCACAGAGCTGAACATTCCTTTGGATGGAGCAGGTTTGAGACACACTTTTTGTAGAATCTACAAGTGGATATTTGGACCTCTCTGAGGATTTCGTTGGAAACGGGATAACTGCACCTAACTAAACGGAAGCATTCTCAGAAACTGCTTTGTGATGATTGCATTCACCTCACAGAGTTGAACATTCCTATTGATAGAGCAGTTTGGAAACACTCTTGTTGTGGAATGTGCAAGTGGAGATTTGGAGCGCTTTGAGGCCTGTGGTAGTAAAGGGAATAGCTTCATAGAAAAACTAGACAGATGCATTCTCAGGAACTTTTTGGTGATGTTTGTATTCAACTCCCAGAGTTGAACTTTCCTTTGGAAAGAGCAGCTATGAAACACTCTTTTTCTAGAATCTGCAAGTGGACGTTTGGAGGGTTTTGTGGTTTGTGGTGGAAAAGGAAATATCTTCACCTAAATACTAGATAGAAGCATTCTCAGAAGCTTCTCTGTGATGACTGCATTCAACTCACGGAGTTGAACACTCCTTTTGAGAGCGCAGTTTTGAAACTCCCTTTCTGTGGCATCTGCAAGGGGACATGTAGACCTCTTTGAAGATTTCGTTGGAAACGGAATCATCTTCACATAAAAACTATACAGAAGCAGTCTCAGAATCTTCTTTGTGATGTTTGCATTCAAATCCCAGAGTTGAACTTTCCTTTCAAAGTTCACGTTTGAAACACTCTTTTTGCAGGATCTACAAGTGGATATTTGGACCACTCTGTGTCCTTCGTTCGAAACGGGTATATCTTCACAGGACATCTAGACAGAAGCTTTCTCAGAAAATTCTTTGGGATGATTGAGTGGAACTCACAGAGCTGAACATTCCTTGCGATGTAGCAGTTTAGAAACACACTTTCTGCAGAATCTGCAAGTGCATATTTGGACCTCTCTGAGGAATTCGTTGGAAACGGGATAATTTCAGCTGACTAAACAGAAGCATTCTCAGAACCTTCTTCGTGATGTCTGCATTCAACTCACAGTGTGGAACCTTTCTTTGATAGTTCAGGTTTGAAACACTCTTTTTGTAGAAACTGCAAGGGGATAATTGCACTTCTTTGAGGCCTACCGTAGTCAAGGAAATAACTTCCTATAGAAAGAAGACAGAAGAATTCTCAGAGCCCTCTTCGTGATGTTTGCATTCAACTCACAGTGCTGAACCTTTCTTTGATAGTGCAGCTTTGAAACACTCTTTTTGTAGAAACTGCAAGTGGATATTTGGTCCTCTCTGAGGATTTCGTTGGAAACGGGATAAACCGCACAGAACTAAAACAGAAGCATTCTCAGAACCTTCTTCGTGATGTTTGCATTCAACTCACAGTGTTGAACCTTTCTTTGATAGTTCAGGTTGGAAACGGTCTTTCTGTAGAAACTGCAAGTAGATATTTGGACCTCTCTGAGGATTTCGTTGGAAACGGGATAAACCGCACAGAACTAAAACAGAAGCATTCACAGAAAACTCTTGGTGACGACTGAGTTTAACTCACAGAGCTGAAGATTCCTTTGAATGGAGCAGTTTCGAAACACACTATTTGTAGAATCTGCAAGTGGATATTTGGGCCTCTCTGAGGATTTCGTTGCAAACGGGATAAACCGCACTGAACTAAACAGAAGCATTCTCAGAAACTACTTTGTGATGATTGCATTCAAGTCACAGAGTTGAACATTCCCTTTGACAGAGCAGTTTGGAAACTCTCTTTGTGTAGAATCTGCAAGTGGAGATATGGACCGCTTTGAGGCCTATGGTAGTAAAGGAAATAGCTTCATATAAAAGCTAGACAGTAGCATTCTCAGAAACTTCTTTGTGATGCTTGCATTCAACTCACAGAGTTGAACTTTCCTTTCGAGAGAGAAGCTTTGAAACACTCTTTTTCCAGAATCTGCAAGTGGACATTTGGAGGGCTTTGAGGCCTGTGGTGGAAAAGGAATTATCTTCCCGTAAAAGCTAGATAGAAGCATTGTCAGAAACTTCTTTGTGATGATTGCATTCAACTCACAGAGTTGAAGGTTCCTTTTCAAAGAGCAGTTTCCAATCACTCTTTCTGTGGAATCTGCAAGTGGATATTTGGACCTATTTTGAAGATTTCGTTGGAAACGGGAGAATCTTCACAGGAAAGCTAAACAGAAGCATTCTCAGAAACTTCTCTGTGATGTTTGTGTTCAACTCCCAGAGTTTCACATTGCTTTTCATAGAGTAGTTCTGAAACATGCTTTTCGTAGTGTCTACAAGTGGACATTTGGAGCGCTTTCAGGCCTGTGGTGGAAAACGAATTATGGTCACATAAAAACTGGAGAGAAGCCTTCTCAGAAACTTCTCTGTGATGATTGCATTCAACTCACAGAGTTGAAACCTCCTATGCATAGAGCAGTGTTGAAACTCTCTTTTTGTGGAATCTGCAAGCGGATATGTGGACCTCTCCGAAGATGTCTTTGGAAACGGGAATATCTTCACATAAAAACTAAACAGAAGCATTCTCAGAAACTTCTTGGTGATGTTTGCATTCAAATCCCAGAGTTGAACCTTCCTTTGAGAGTTCAGGTTTGAAACACTCTTTTTGTAGGATCTGCAAGTGGATATTTGGACCACTCTGTGGCCTTCGTTCGAAACGGGTACATCTTCGCATAAAATCTAGACAGAAGCATTCTCAGAAAATACTTTGTGATGATTGAGTTTAAATCACAGAGCTGACCATTCCTTTGGATGGAGCAGGTTTGAGACACACTTTTTGTAGAATCTACAAGTGGATATTTGGACCTCTCTGAGGATTTCGTTGGAAACGGGATAACTGCACCTAACTAAACGGGAAGCATTCTCAGAAACTGCTTTGTGATGATTGCATTCACCTCACAGAGTTGAACATTCCTATTGATAGAGCAGTTTGGAAACACTCTTGTTGTGGAATGTGCAAGTGGAGATTTGGAGCGCTTTGAGGCCTGTGGTAGTAAAGGGAATAGCTTCATAGAAAAACTAGACAGATGCATTCTCAGGAACTTTTTGGTGATGTTTGTATTCAACTCCCAGAGTTGAACTTTCCTTTGGAAAGAGCAGCTATGAAACACTCTTTTTCTAGAATCTGCAAGTGGACGTTTGGAGGGCTTTGTGGTTTGTGGTGGAAAAGGAAATATCTTCACCTAAATACTAGATAGAAGCATTCTCAGAAGCTTCTCTGTGATGACTGCATTCAACTCACGGAGTTGAACACTCCTTTTGAGAGCGCAGTTTTGAAACTCTCTTTCTGTGGCATCTGCAAGGGGACATGTAGACCTCTTTGAAGATTTCGTTGGAAACGGAATCATCTTCACATCAAAACTATACAGAAGCAGTCTCAGAATCTTCTTTGTGATGTTTGCATTCAAATCCCAGAGTTGAACTTTCCTTTCCAAGTTCACGTTTGAAACACTCTTTTTGCAGGATCTACAAGTGGATATTTGGACCACTCTGTGTCCTTCGTTCGAAACGGGTATATCTTCACATGACATCTAGACAGAAGCTTTCTCAGAAAATTCTTTGGGATGATTGAGTGGAACTCACAGAGCTGAACATTCCTTGCGATGTAGCAGTTTAGAAACACACTTTCTGCAGAATCTGCAAGTGCATATTTGGACCTCTCTGAGGAATTCGTTGGAAACGGGATAATTTCAGCTGACTAAACAGAAGCATTCTCAGAACCTTCTTCGTGATGTCTGCATTCAACTCACAGTGTGGAACCTTTCTTTGATAGTTCAGGTTTGAAACACTCTTTTTGTAGAAACTGCAAGGGGATAATTGCACTTCTTTGAGGCCTACCGTAGTAAAGGAAATAACTTCCTATAGAAAGAAGACAGAAGCATTCTCAGAACTCTCTTGGTGATGTTTGCATTCAACTCACGGTGCTGAACCTTTCTTTGATAGTTCAGCTTTGAAACACTCTTTTTGTAGAAACTGCAAGTGGATATTTGGTCCTCTCTGAGGATTTCGTTGGAAACGGGATAAACCGCACAGAACTAAACAGAAGCATTCTCAGAACCTTCTTCGTGATGTTTGCATTCAACTCACAGTGTTGAACCTTTCTTTGATAGTTCAGGTTTGAAACGGTCTTTCTGTGGAAACTGCAAGTAGATATTTGGACCTCTCTGAGGATTTCGTTGGAAACGGGATAAACCGCACAGAACTAAAACAGAAGCATTCACAGAAAACTCTTGGTGACGACTGAGTTTAACTCACAGAGCTGAATATTCCTTTGGATGGAGCAGTTTCGAAACACACTATTTCTAGAAGGTGCAAGTGGATATGTGGGCCTCTCTGAGGATTTCGTTGGAAACGGGATAAACCGCACAGAACTAAACAGAATCATTCTCAGAAACTACTTTGTGATGATTGCATTCAAGTCACAGAGTTGAACATTCCCTTTGACAGAGCAGTTTGGAAACTCTCTTTGTGTAGAATCTGCAAGTGGAGATATGGACCGCTTTGAGGCCTATGGTAGTAAAGGAAATAGCTTCATATAAAAGCTAGACAGTAGCATTCTCAGAAACTTCTTTGTGATGCTTGCATTCAACTCACAGAGTTGAACTTTCCTTTCGAGAGAGAAGCTTTGAAACACTCTTTTTCCAGAATCTGCAAGTGGACATTTGGAGGGCGTTGAGGCCTGTGGTGGAAAAGGAATTATCTTCCCGTAAAAGCTAGATAGAAGCATTGTCAGAAACTTCTTTGTGATGATTGCATTCAACTCACAGAGTTGAAGGTTCCTTTTCAAAGAGCAGTTTCCAATCACTCTTTCTGTGGAATCTGCAAGTGGATATTTGGACCTATTTTGAAGATTTCGTTGGAAACGGGAGAATCTTCACAGGAAAGCTAAACAGAAGCATTCTCAGAAACTTCTCTGTGATGTTTGTGTTCAACTCCCAGAGTTTCACATTGCTTTTCATAGAGTAGTTCTGAAACATGCTTTTCGTAGTGTCTACAAGTGGACATTTGGAGCGCTTTCAGGCCTGTGGTGGAAAACGAATTATGGTCACATAAAAACTGGAGAGAGCCTTCTCAGAAACTTCTCTGTGATGATTGCATTCAACTCACAGAGTTGAACCCTCCTATGGATAGAGCAGTGTTGAAACTCTCTTTTTGTGGAATCTGCAAGTGGATATGTGGACCTCTCCGAAGATGTCTTTGGAAACGGGAATATCTTCACATAAAAACTAAACAGAAGCATTCTCAGAAACTTCTTGGTGATGTTTGCATTCAAATCCCAGAGTTGAACCTTCCTTTGATAGTTCAGGTTTGAAACACTCTTTCTGTAGGATCTGCAAGTGGCTATTTGGACCACTCTGTGGCCTTCGTTCGAAACGGGTATATCTTCGCATAAAATCTAGACAGAAGCATTCTCAGAAAATACTTTGTGATGATTGAGTTTAAATCACAGAGCTGACCATTCCTTTGGATGGAGCAGGTTTGAGACACACTTTTTGTAGAATCTACAAGTGGATATTTGGACCTCTCTGAGGATTTCGTTGGAAACGGGATAACTGCACCTAACTAAACGGAAGCATTCTCAGAAACTGCTTTGTGATGATTGCATTCACCTCACAGAGTTGAACATTCCTATTGATAGAGCAGTTTGGAAACACTCTTGTTGCGGAATGTGCAAGTGGAGATTTGGAGCGCTTTGAGGCCTGTGGTAGTAAAGGGAATAGCTTCATAGAAAAACTAGACAGATGCATTCTCAGGAACTTTTTGGTGATGTTTGTATTCAACTCCCAGAGTTGAACTTTCCTTTGGAAAGAGCAGCTATGAAACACTCTTTTTCTAGAATCTGCAAGTGGACGTTTGGAGGGCTTTGTGGTTTGTGGTGGAAAAGGAAATATCTTCACCTAAATACTAGATAGAAGCATTCTCAGAAGCTTCTCTGTGATGACTGCATTCAACTCACGGAGTTGAACACTCCTTTTGAGAGCGCAGTTTTGGAACTCCCTTTCTGTGGCATCTGCAAGGGGACATGTAGACCTCTTTGAAGATTTCGTTGGAAACGGAATCATCTTCACATCAAAACTATACAGAAGCAGTCTCAGAATCTTCTTTGTGATGTTTGCATTCAAATCCCAGAGTTGAACTTTCCTTTCCAAGTTCATGTTTGAAACACTCTTTTTGCAGGATCTGCAAGTGGATATTTGGACCACTCTGTGTCCTTCGTTCGAAACGGGTATATCTTCACATGACATCTAGACAGAAGCTTTCTCAGAAAATTCTTTGGGATGATTGAGTGGAACTCACAGAGCTGAACATTCCTTGCGATGTAGCAGTTTAGAAACACACTTTCTGCAGAATCTGCAAGTGCATATTTGGACCCTCTCTGAGGAATTCGTTGGAAACGGGATAATTTCAGCTGACTAAACAGAAGCATTCTCAGAACCTTCTTCGTGATGTCTGCATTCAACTCACAGTGTGGAACCTTTCTTTGATAGTTCAGGTTTGAAACACTCTTTTTGTAGAAACTGCAAGGGGATAATTGCACTTCTTTGAGGCCTACCGTAGTAAAGGAAATAACTTCCTATAGAAAGAAGACAGAAGCATTCTCAGAACCCTCTTCGTGATGTTTGCATTCAACTCACAGTGCTGAACCTTTCTTTGATAGTTCAGCTTTGAAACACTCTTCTTGTAGAAACTGCAAGTGGATATTTGGTCCTCTCTGAGGATTTCGTTGGAAACGGGATAAACCGCACAGAACTAAACAGAAGCATTCTCAGAACCTTCTTCGTGATGTTTGCATTCAACTCACAGTGTTGAACCTTTCTTTGATAGTTCAGGTTGGAAACGGTCTTTCTGTAGAAACTGCAAGTAGATATTTGGACCTCTCTGAGGATTTCGTTGGAAACGGGATAAACCGCACAGAACTAAAACAGAAGCATTCACAGAAAACTCTTGGTGACGACTGAGTTTAACTCACAGAGCTGAACATTCCTTTGGATGGAGCAGTTTCGAAACACACTATTTGTAGAATGTGCAAGTGGATATTTGGGCCTCTCTGAGGATTTCGTTGGAAACGGGATAAACCGCACAGAACTAAACAGAAGCATTCTCAGAAACTACTTTGTGATGATTGCATTCAAGTCACAGAGTTGAACATTCCCTTTGACAGAGCAGTTTGGAAACTCTCTTTGTGTAGAATCTGCAAGTGGAGATATGGACCGCTTTGAGGCCTATGGTAGTAAAGGAAATAGCTTCATATAAAAGCTAGACAGTAGCATTCTCAGAAACTTCTTTGTGATGCTTGCATTCAACTCACAGAGTTGAACTTTCCTTTCGAGAGAGAAGCTTTGAAACACTCTTTTTCCAGAATGTGCAAGTGGACATTTGGAGGGCTTTGAGGCCTGCGGTGGAAAAGGAATTATCTTCCCGTAAAAGCTAGATAGAAGCATTGTCAGAAACTTCTTTGTGATGATTGCATACAAGTCACAGAGTTGAAGGTTCCTTTTCAAAGAGCAGTTTCCAATCACTCTTTCTGTGGAATCTGCAAGTGGATATTTGGACCTCTTTGAAGATTTCGTTGGAAACGGGAGAATCTTCACAGAAAAGCTAAACAGAAGCATTCTCAGAAACTTCTCTGTGATGTTTGTGTTCAACTCCCAGAGTTTCTCATTGCTTCTCATAGAGTAGTTCTGAAACATGCTTTTCGTAGTGTCTGCAAGTGGACATTTGGAGCGCTTTCAGGCCTGTGGTGGAAAACGAATTATGGTCACATGAAAACTGGAGAGAAGCCTTCTCAGAAACTTCTCTGTGATGATTGCATTCAACTCACAGAGTTGAACCCTCCTATGGATAGAGCAGTGTTGAAACTCTCTTTTTGTGGAATCTGCAAGCGGATATGTGGACCTCTCCGAAGATGTCTTTGGAAACGGGAATATCTTCACATAAAAACTAAACAGAAGCATTCTCAGAAACTTCTTGGTGATGTTTGCATTCAAATCCCAGAGTTGAACCTTCCTTTGAGAGTTCAGGTTTGAAACACTCTTTTTGTAGGATCTGCAAGTGGATATTTGGACCACTCTGTGGCCTTCGTTCGAAACGGGTACATCTTCGCATAAAATCTAGACAGAAGCATTCTCAGAAAATACTTTGTGATGATTGAGTTTAACTCACAGAGCTGAACATTCCTTTGGATGGAGCAGGTTTGAGACACACTTTTTGTAGAATCTACAAGTGGATATTTGGACCTCTCTGAGGATTTCGTTGGAAACGCGATAACTGCACCTAACTAAACGGAAGCATTCTCAGAAACTGCTTTGTGATGATTGCATTCACCTCACAGAGTTGAACATTCCTATTGATAGAGCAGTTTGGAAACACTCTTGTTGTGGAATGTGCAAGTGGAGATTTGGAGCGCTTTGAGGCCTATGGTAGTAAAGGGAATAGCTTCATAGAAAAACTAGACAGATGCATTCTCAGGAACTTTTTGGTGATGTTTGTATTCAACTCCCAGAGTTGAACTTTCCTTTGGAAAGAGCAGCTGTGAAACAATCTTTTTCTAGAATCTGCAAGTGGACGTTTGGAGGGCTTTGTGGTTTGTGGTGGAAAAGGAAATATCTTCACCTAAATAGTAGAGAGAAGCATTCTCAGAAGCTTCTCTGTGATGACTGCATTCAACTCACGGAGTTGAACACTCCTTTTGAGAGCGCAGTTTTGAAACTCTCTTTCTGTGGCATCTGCAAGGGGACATGTAGACCTCTTTGAAAATTTCGTTGGTAACGGAATCATCTTCACATCAAAACTATACAGAAGCAGTCTCAGAATCTTCTTTGTGATGTTTGCATTCAAATCCCAGAGTTGAACTTTCCTTTCAAAGTTCACGTTTGAAACACTCTTTTTGCAGGATCTACAAGTGGATATTTGGACCACTCTGTGTCCTTCGTTCGAAACGGGTATATCTTCACATGACATCTAGACAGAAGCTTTCTCAGAAAATTGTTTGGGATGATTGATTTGAACTCACAGAGCTGAGCATTCCTTGCGATGTAGCAGTTTAGAAACACACTTTCTGCAGAATCTGCAAGTGCATATTTGGACCTCTCTGAGGAATTCGTTGGAAACGGGATAATTTCAGCTGACTAAACAGAAGTATTCTCAGAACCTTCTTCGTGATGTCTGCATTCAACTCACAGTGTGGAACCTTTCTTTGATAGTTCAGGTTTGAAACACTCTTTTTGTAGGAACTGCAAGGGGATAATTGCACTCTTTGAGGAGTACCGTAGTAAAGGAAATAACTTCCTATAAAAAGAAGACAGAAGCATTCTCAGAACCCTCTTCGTGATGTTTGCATTCAACTCACAGTGCTGAACCTTTCTTTGATAGTTCAGCTTTGAAACACTCCTTTTGTAGAAACTGCAAATGGATATTTGGTCCTCTCTGAGGATTTCGTTGGAAAAGGGATAAAACGCACAGAACTAAACAGAAGCATTCACAGAAAACTCTTGGTGACGACTGAGTTTAACTCACAGAGCTGAACATTCCTTTGGATGGAGCAGTTTCAAAACACACTATTTGTAGAATCTGCAAGTGGATATGTGGGCCTCTCTGAGGATTTCGTTGGAAACGGGATAAACCGCACAGAACTAAAACAGAAGCATTCTCAGAAACTACTTTGTGATGATTGCATTCAAGTCACAGAGTTGAACATTCCCTTTGACAGAGCAGTTTGGAAACTCTCTTTGTGTAGAATCTGCAAGTGGAGATATGGACCGCTTTGAGGCCTATGGTAGTAAAGGAAATAGCTTCATATAAAAGCTAGACAGTAGCATTCTCAGAAACTTCTTTGTGATGCTTGCATTCAACTCACAGAGTTGAACTTTCCTTTCGAGAGAGAAGCTTTGAAACACTCTTTTCCAGAAACTGCAAGTGGACATTTGGAGGGCATTGAGGCCTGTGGTGGAAAAGGAATTATCTTCCCGTAAAAGCTAGACAGAAGCATTGTCAGAAACTTCTTTGTGATGATTGCATTCAACTCACAGAGTTGAAGGTTCCTTTTCAAACAGCAGTTTCCAATCACTCTTTCTGTGGAATCTGCAAGTGGATATTTGGGCCTCTCTGAGGATTTCGTTGGAAACGGGATAAAACGCACAGAACTAAAACAGAAGCATTCTCAGAAACTTCTCTGTGATGTTTGTGTTCAACTCCCAGAGTTTCACGTTGCTTTTCATAGAGTAGTTCTGAAACATGCTTTTCGTAGTGTCTGCAAGTGGACATT
Organism: Homo sapiens; assembly: GCF_000001405.40. NCBI lineage: Eukaryota > Metazoa > Chordata > Mammalia > Primates > Hominidae > Homo > Homo sapiens. The sequence goes on from NC_000017.11 coordinate 25,981,584, forward strand.
TGGAGCGCTTTCAGGCCTGTGGTGGAAAACGAATTATGGTCACATAAAAACTGGAGAGAAGCCTTCTCAGAAACTTCTCTGTGATGATTGCATTCAACTCACAGAGTTGAACCCTCCTATGGATAGAGCAGTGTTCAAACTCTCTTTTTGTGGAATCTGCAAGTGGATATGTGGACCTCTCCGAAGATGTCTTTGGAAACGGGAATATCTTCACATAAAAACTAAACAGAAGCATTCTCAGAAACTTCTTGGTGATGTTTGCATTCAAATCCCAGAGTTGAACCTTCCTTTGATAGTTCAGGTTTGAAACACTCTTTCTGTAGGATCTGCAAGTGGCTATTTGGACCACTCTGTGGCCTTCGTTCGAAACGGGTATATCTTCGCATAAAATCTAGACAGAAGCATTCTCAGAAAATACTTTGTGATGATTGAGTTTAAATCACAGAGCTGAACATTCCTTTGGATGGAGCAGGTTTGAGACACACTTTTTATAGAATCTACAAGTGGATATTTGGACCTCTCTGAGGATTTCGTTGGAAACGGGATAACTGCACCTAACTAAACGGAAAGCATTCTCAGAAACTGCTTTGTGATGATTGCATTCACCTCACAGTAGTTGAACATTCCTATTGATAGAGCAGTTTGGAAACACTCTTGTTGTGGAATGTGCAAGTGGAGATTTGGAGCGCTTTGAGGCCTATGGTAGTAAAGGGAATAGCTTCATAGAAAAACTAGACAGATGCATTCTCAGGAACTTTTTGGTGATGTTTGTATTCAACTCCCAGAGTTGAACTTTCCTTTGGAAAGAGCAGCTATGAAACACTCTTTTTCTAGAATCTGCAAGTGGACGTTTGGAGGGCTTTGTGGTTTGTGGTGGAAAAGGAAATATCTTCACCTAAATACTAGATAGAAGCATCCTCAGAAGCTTCTCTGTGATGACTGCATTCAACTCACGGAGTTGAACACTCCTTTTGAGAGCGCAGTTTTGAAACTCTCTTTCTGTGGCATCTGCAAGGGGACATGTAGACCTCTTTGAAGATTTCTTTGGAAACGGAATCATCTTCACATAAAAACTATACAGAAGCAGTCTCAGAATCTTCTTTGTGATGTTTGCATTCAAATCCCAGAGTTGAACTTTCCTTTCAAAGTTCACGTTTGAAACACTCTTTTTGCAGGATCTACAAGTGGATATTTGGACCACTCTGTGTCCTTCGTTCGAAACGGGTATATCTTCACAGGACATCTAGACAGAAGCTTTCTCAGAAAATTCTTTGGGATGATTGAGTTGAACTCACAGAGCTGAACATTCCTTGCGATGTAGCAGTTTAGAAACACACTTTCTGCAGAATCTGCAAGTGCATATTTGGACCTCTCTGAGGAATTCGTTGGAAACGGGATAATTTCAGCTGACTAAACAGAAGCATTCTCAGAACCTTCTTCGTGATGTCTGCATTCAACTCACAGTGTGGAACCTTTCTTTGATAGTTCAGGTTTGAAACACTCTTTTTGTAGAAACTGCAAGGGGATAATTGCACTTCTTTGAGGCCTACCGTAGTAAAGGAAATAACTTCCTATAGAAAGAAGACAGAAGCATTCTCAGAACCCTCTTCGTGATGTTTGCATTCAACTCACAGTGCTGAACCTTTCTTTGATAGTTCAGCTTTGAAACACTCTTCTTGTAGAAACTGCAAGTGGATATTTGGTCCTCTCTGAGGATTTCGTTGGAAACGGGATAAACCGCACAGAACTAAACAGAAGCATTCTCAGAACCTTCTTCGTGATGTTTGCATTCAACTCACAGTGTTGAACCTTTCTTTGATAGTTCAGGTTTGAAACGGTCTTTCTGTAGAAACTGCAAGTAGATATTTGGACCTCTCTGAGGATTTCGTTGGAAACGGGATAACCCGCACAGAACTAAAACAGAAGCATTCACAGAAAACTCTTGGTGACGACTGAGTTTAACTCACAGAGCTGAACATTCCCTTTGGATGGAGCAGTTTCGAAACACACTATTTGTAGAATGTGCAAGTGGATATTTAGGCCTCTCTGAGGATTTCGTTGGAAACGGGATAAACCGCACAGAACTAAACAGAAGCATTCTCAGAAACTACTTTGTGATGATTGCATTCAAGTCACAGAGTTGAACATTCCCTTTGACAGAGCAGTTTGGAAACTCTCTTTGTGTAGAATCTGCAAGTGGAGATATGGACCGCTTTGAGGCCTATGGTAGTAAAGGAAATAGCTTCATATAAAAGCTAGACAGTAGCATTCTCAGAAACTTCTTTGTGATGCTTGCATTCAACTCACAGAGTTGAACTTTCCTTTCGAGAGAGAAGCTTTGAAACACTCTTTTTCCAGAATCTGCAAGTGGACATTTGGAGGGCTTTGAGGCCTGTGGTGGAAAAGGAATTATCTTCCCGTAAAAGCTAGATAGAAGCATTGTCAGAAACTTCTTTGTGATGATTGCATTCAACTCACAGAGTTGAAGGTTCCTTTTCAAACAGCAGTTTCCAATCACTCTTTCTGTGGAATCTGCAAGTGGATATTTGGGCCTCTCTGAGGATTTCGTTGGAAACGGGATAAAACGCACAGAACTAAAACAGAAGCATTCTCAGAAACTTCTCTGTGATGTTTGTGTTCAACTCCCAGAGTTTCACATTGCTTTTCATAGAGTAGTTCTGAAACATGCTTTTCGTAGTGTCTGCAAGTGGACATTTGGAGCGCTTTCAGGCCTGTGGTGGAAAACCGAATTATGGTCACATAAAAACTGGAGAGAAGCCTTCTCAGAAACTTCTCTGTGATGATTGCATTCAACTCACAGAGTTGAACCCTCCTATGGATAGAGCAGTGTTGAAACTCTCTTTTTGTGGAATCTGCAAGTGGATATGTGGACCTCTCCGAAGATGTCTTTGGAAACGGGAATATCTTCACATAAAAACTAAACAGAAGCATTCTCAGAAACTTCTTGGTGATGTTTGCATTCAAATCCCAGAGTTGAACCTTCCTTTGGTAGTTCAGGTTTGAAACACTCTTTTTGTAGGATCTGCAAGTGGATATTTGGACCACTCTGTGGCCTTCGTTCGAAACGGGTACATCTTCGCATAAAATCTAGACAGAAGCATTCTCAGAAAATACTTTGTGATGATTGAGTTGAACTCACAGAGCTGAACATTCCTTTGGATGGAGCAGGTTTGAGACACACTTTTTGTAGAATCTACAAGTGGATATTTGGACCTCTCTGAGGATTTCGTTGGAAACGGGATAACTGCACCTAACTAAACGGAAGCATTCTCAGAAACTGCTTTGTGATGATTGCATTCACCTCACAGAGTTGAACATTCCTATTGATAGAGCAGTTTGGAAACACTCTTGTTGTGGAATGTGCAAGTGGAGATTTGGAGCGCTTTGAGGCCTATGGTAGTAAAGGGAATAGCTTCATAGAAAAACTAGACAGATGCATTTTCAGGAACTTTTTGGTGATGTTTGTATTCAACTCCCAGAGTTGAACTTTCCTTTGGAAAGAGCAGCTATGAAACACTCTTTTTCTAGAATCTGCAAGTGGACGTTTGGAGGGCTTTGTGGTTTGTGGTGGAAAAGGAAATATCTTCACCTAAATACTAGATAGAAGCATTCTCAGAAGCTTCTCTGTGATGACTGCATTCAACTCACGGAGTTGAACACTCCTTTTGAGAGCGCAGTTTTGAAACTCTCTTTCTGTGGCATCTGCAAGGGGACATGTAGACCTCTTTGAAGATTTCGTTGGAAACGGAATCATCTTCACATAAAAACTATACAGAAGCAGTCTCAGAATCTTCTTTGTGATGTTTGCATTCAAATCCCAGAGTTGAACTTTCCTTTCAAAGTTCACGTTTGAAACACTCTTTTTGCAGGATCTACAAGTGGATATTTGGACCACTCTGTGTCCTTCGTTCGAAACGGGTATATCTTCACATGACATCTAGACAGAAGCTTTCTCAGAAAATTCTTTGGGATGATTGAGTGGAACTCACAGAGCTGAACATTCCTTGCGATGTAGCAGTTTAGAAACACACTTTCTGCAGAATCTGCAAGTGCATATTTGGACCTCTCTGAGGAATTCGTTGGAAACGGGATAATTTCAGCTGACTAAACAGAAGCATTCTCAGAACCTTCTTCGTGATGTCTGCATTCAACTCACAGTGTGGAACCTTTCTTTGATAGTTCAGGTTTGAAACACTCTTTTTGTAGAAACTGCAAGGGGATAATTGCACTTCTTTGAGGCCTACCGTAGTAAAGGAAATAACTTCCTATAGAAAGAAGACAGAAGAATTCTCAGAGCCCTCTTCGTGATGTTTGCATTCAACTCACAGTGCTGAACCTTTCTTTGATAGTGCAGCTTTGAAACACTCTTTTTGTAGAAACTGCAAGTGGATGTTTGGTCCTCTCTGAGGATTTCGTTGGAAACGGGATAAACCGCACAGAACTAAAACAGAAGCATTCTCAGAACCTTCTTCGTGATGTTTGCATTCAACTCACAGTGTTGAACCTTTCTTTGATAGTTCAGGTTTGAAACGGTCTTTCTGTAGAAACTGCAAGTAGATATTTGGACCTCTCTGAGGATTTCGTTGGAAACGGGATAACCCGCACAGAACTAAAACAGAAGCATTCACAGAAAACTCTTGGTGACGACTGAGTTTAACTCACAGAGCTGAACATTCCTTTGGATGGAGCAGTTTCAAAACACACTATTTGTAGAATCTGCAAGTGGATATGTGGGCCTCTCTGACGATTTCGTTGGAAACGGGATAAACCGCACAGAACTAAAACAGAAGCATTCTCAGAAACTACTTTGTGATGATTGCATTCAAGTCACAGAGTTGAACATTCCCTTTGACAGAGCAGTTTGGAAACTCTCTTTGTGTAGAATCTGCAAGTGGAGATATGGACCGGTTTGAGGCCTATGGTAGTAAAGGAAATAGCTTCATATAAAAGCTAGACAGTAGCATTCTCAGAAACTTCTTTGTGATGCTTGCATTCAACTCACAGAGTTGAACTTTCCTTTCGAGAGAGAAGCTTTGAAACACTCTTTTTCCAGAATGTGCAAGTGGACATTTGGGGAGCTTTGAGGCCTGTGGTGGAAAAGGAATTATCTTCCCGTAAAAGCTAGATAGAAGCATTGTCAGAAACTTCTTTGTGATGATTGCATTCAACTCTCAGAGTTGAAGGTTCCTTTTCAAACAGCAGTTTCCAAACACTCTTTCTGTGGAATCTGCAAGTGGATATTTGGACCTCTTTGAAGATTTCGTTGGAAACGGGATAACCTTCACAGAAAAGCTAAACAGAAGCATTCTCAGAAACTTCTCTGTGATGTTTGTGTTCAACTCCCAGAGTTTCACAGTGCTTCTCATAGAGTAGTTCTGAAACATGCTTTTCGTAGTGTCTGCAAGTGGACATTTGGAGCGCTTTCAGGCCTGTGGTGGAAAACGAATTATGGTCACATAAAAACTGGAGAGAAGCCTTCTCAGAAACTTCTCTGTGATGATTGCATTCAACTCACAGAGTTGAACTCTCCTATGGATAGAGCAGTGTTGAAACTCTCTTTTTGTGGAATCTGCAAGTGGATATGTGGACCTCTCCGAAGATGTCTTTGGAAACGGGAATATCTTCACATAAAAACTAAACAGAAGCATTCTCAGAAACTTCTTGGTGATATTTGCATTCAATTCCCAGAGTTGAACATTCCTTTGATAGTTCAGGTTTGAAACACTCTTTTTGTAGGATCTGCAAGTGGATATTTGGAACACTCTGTGGCCTTCGTTCGAAACGGGTACATCTTCGCATAAAATCTACACAGAAGCATTCTCAGAAAATACTTTGTGATGATTGAGTTTAACTCACAGAGCTGAACATTCCTTTAGATGGAGCAGGTTTGAGACACACTTTTTGTAGAATCTACAAGTGGATATTTGGACCTCTCTGAGGATTTCGTTGGAAACGGGATAACTGCACCTAACTAAACGGAAGCATTCTCAGAAACTGCTTTGTGATGATTGCATTCACCTCACAGAGTTGAACATTCCTATTGATAGAGCAGTTTGGAAACACTCTTGTTGTGGAATGTGCAAGTGGTGATTTGGAGCACTTTGAGGCCTATGGTAGTAAAGGGAATAGCTTCATAGAAAAACTAGACAGATGCATTCTCAGGAACTTTTTGGTGATGTTTGTATTCAACTCCCAGAGTTGAACTTTCCTTTGGAAAGAGCAGCTATGAAACACTCTTTTTCTAGAATCTGCAAGTGGACGTTTGGAGGGCTTTGTGGTTTGCGGTAGAAAAGGAAATATCTTCACCTAAATACTAGATAGAAGCATTCTCAGAAGCTTCTCTGTGATGACTGCATTCAACTCACGGAGTTGAACACTCCTTTTGAGAGCGCAGTTTTGAAACTCTCTTTCTGTGGCATCTGCAAGGGGACATGTAGACCTCTTTGAAGATTTCGTTGGAAACGGAATCATCTTCACATAAAAACTATACAGAAGCAGTCTCAGAATCTTCTTTGTGATGTTTGCATTCAAATCCCAGAGTTGAACTTTCCTTTCAAAGTTCACGTTTGAAACACTCTTTTTGCAGGATCTACAAGTGGATATTTGGACCACTCTGTGTCCTTCGTTCGAAACGGGTATATCTTCACATGACATCTAGACAGAAGCTTTCTCAGAAAATTCTTTGGGATGATTGAGTGGAACTCACAGAGCTGAACATTCCTTGCGATGTAGCAGTTTAGAAACACACTTTCTGCAGAATCTGCAAGTGCATATTTGGACCTCTCTGAGGAATTCGTTGGAAACGGGATAATTTCAGCTGACTAAACAGAAGCATTCTCAGAACCTTCTTCGTGATGTCTGCATTCAACTCACAGTGTGGAACCTTTCTTTGATAGTTCAGGTTTGAAACACTCTTTTTGTAGAAACTGCAAGGGGATAATTGCACTTCTTTGAGGCCTACCGTAGTAAAGGAAATAACTTCCTATAAAAAGAAGACAGAAGCATTCTCAGAACCCTCTTCGTGATGTTTGCATTCAACTCACAGTGCTGAACCTTTCTTTGATAGTTCAGCTTTGAAACACTCTTCTTGTAGAAACTGCAAGTGGATATTTGGTCCTCTCTGAGGATTTCGTTGGAAACGGGATAAACCGCACAGAACTAAACAGAAGCATTCTCAGAACCTTCTTCGTGATGTTTGCATTCAACTCACAGTGTTGAACCTTTCTTTGATAGTTCAGGTTTGAAACGGTCTTTCTGTAGAAACTGCAAGTAGATATTTGGACCTCTCTGAGTATTTCTTTGGAAACGGGATAAACCGCACAGAACTAAAACAGAAGCATTCACAGAAAACTCTTGGTGACGACTGAGTTTAACGCACAGAGCTGAACATTCCTTTGGATGGAGCAGTTTCGAAACACACTATATGTAGAATGTGCAAGTGGATATTTGGGCCTCTCTGAGGATTTCGTTGGAAACGGGATAAACCGCACAGAACTAAACAGAAGCATTCTCAGAAACTACTTTGTGATGATTGCATTCAAGTCACAGAGTTGAACATTCCCTTTGACAGAGCAGTTTGGAAACTCTCTTTGTGTAGAATCTGCAAGTGGAGATATGGACCGCTTTGAGGCCTATGGTAGTAAAGGAAATAGCTTCATATAAAAGCTAGACAGTGGCATTCTCAGAAACTTCTTTGTGATGCTTGCATTCAACTCACAGAGTTGAACTTTCCTTTCGAGAGAGAAGCTTTGAAACACTCTTTTTCCAGAATCTGCAAGTGGACTTTTGGAGGGCTTTGAGGCCTGTGGTGAAAAGGAATTATCTTCCCATAAAAGCTAGATAGAAGCATTGTCAGAAACTTCTTTGTGATGATTGCATTCAACTCACAGTAGTTGAAGGTTCCTTTTCAAAGAGCAGTTTCCAATCACTCTTTCTGTGGAATCTGCAAGTGGATATTTGGACCTATTTTGAAGATTTCGTTGGAAACGGGAGAATCTTCACAGGAAAGCTAAACAGAAGCATTCTCAGAAACTTCTCTGTGATGTTTGTGTTCAACTCCCAGAGTTTCACATTGCTTTTCATAGAGTAGTTCTGAAACATGCTTTTCGTAGTGTCTGCAAGTGGACATTTGGAGCGCTTTCAGGCCTGTGGTGGAAAACGAATTATGGTCCCATAAAAACTGGAGAGAAGCCTTCTCAGAAACTTCTCTGTGATGATTGCATTCAACTCACAGATTTGAACCCTCCTATGGATAGAGCATTGTTGAAACTCTCTTTTTGTGGAATCTGCAAGTGGATATGTGGACCTCTCCGAAGATGTCTTTGGAAACGGGAATATCTTCACATAAAAACTAAACAGAAGCATTCTCAGAAACTTCTTGGTGATGTTTGCATTCAAATCCCAGAGTTGAACCTTCCTTTGATAGTTCAGGTTTGAAACACTCTTTTTGTAGGATCTGCAAGTGGATATTTGGACCACTCTGTGGCCTTCGTTCGAAACGGGTACATCTTCGCATAAAATCTAGACAGAAGCATTCTCAGAAAATACTTTGTGATGATTGAGTTTAACTCACAGAGCTGAACATTCCTTTGGATGGAGCAGGCTTGAGACACACTTTTTGTAGAATCCACAAGTGGATATTTGGACCTCTCTGAGGATTTCGTTGGAAACGGGATAACTGCACCGAACTAAACGGAAGCATTCTCAGAAACTGCTTTGTGATGATTGCATTCACCTCACAGAGTTGAACATTCCTATTGATAGAGCAGTTTGGAAACACTCTTGTTGTGGAATGTGCAAGTGGAGATTTGGAGCGCTTTGAGGTCTATGGTAGTAAAGGGAATAGCTTCATAGAAAAACTAGACAGATGCATTCTCAGGAACCTTTTGGTGATGTTTGTATTCAACTCCCAGAGTTGAACTTTCCTTTGGAAAGAGCAGCTATGAAACACTCTTTTTCTAGAATCTGCAAGTGGACGTTTGGAGGGCTTTGTGGTTTGTGGTGGAAAAGGAAATATCTTCACCTAAATACTAGATAGAAGCATTCTCAGAAGCTTCTCTGTGATGACTGCATTCAACTCACGGAGTTGAACACTCCTTTTGAGAGCGTAGTTTTGAAACTCTCTTTCTGTGGCATCTGCAAGGGGACATGTAGACCTCTTTGAAGATTTCGTTGGAAACGGAATCATCTTCACATAAAAACTATACAGAAGCAGTCTCAGAATCTTCTTTGTGATGTTTGCATTCAAATCCCAGAGTTGAACTTTCCTTTCCAAGTTCACGTTTGAAACACTCTTTTTGCAGGATCTACAAGTGGATATTTGTACCACTCTGTGTCCTTCGTTCGAAACGGGTATATCTTCACATGACATCTAGACAGAAGCTTTCTCAGAAAATTCTTTGGGATGATTGAGTTGAACTCACAGAGCTGAACATTCCTTGCGATGTAGCAGTTTAGAAACACACTTTCTGCAGAATCTGCAAGTGCATATGTGGACCTCTCTGAGGAATTCGTTGGAAACGGGATAATTTCAGCTGACTAAACAGAAGCATTCTCAGAACCTTCTTCGTGATGTCTGCATTCAACTCACAGTGTGGAACCTTTCTTTGATAGTTCAGGTTTGAAACACTCTTTTTGTAGAAACTGCAAGGGGATAATTGCACTTCTTTGAGGCCTACCGTAGTAAAGGAAATAACTTCCTATAAAAAGAAGACAGAAGCATTCTCAGAACCCTCTTCGTGATGTTTGCATTCAACTCACAGTGCTGAACCTTTCTTTGATAGTTCAGCTTTGAAACACTCTTCTTGTAGAAACTGCAAGTGGATATTTGGTCCTCTCTGAGGATTTCGTTGGAAACGGGATAAACCGCACAGAACTAAACAGAAGAATTCTCAGAGCCCTCTTCGTGATGTTTGCATTCAACTCACAGTGCTGAACCTTTCTTTGATAGTGCAGCTTTGAAACACTCTTTTTGTAGAAACTGCAAGTGGATATTTGGTCCTCTCTGAGGATTTCGTTGGAAACGGGATAAACCGCACAGAACTAAAACAGAAGCATTCACAGAAAACTCTTGGTGACGACTGAGTTTAACTCACAGAGCTGAACATTCCTTTGGATGGAGCAGTTTCGAAACACACTATTTGTAGAATCTGCAAGTGGATATTTGGGCCTCTCTGAGGATTTCGTTGGAAACGGGATAAAACGCACAGAAGTAAAACAGAAGCATTCTCAGAAACTACTTTGTTATGATTGCATTCAAGTCACAGAGTTGAACATTCCCTTTGACAGAGCAGTTTGGAAACTCTCTTTGTGTAGAATCTGCAAGTGGAGATATGGACCGCTTTGAGGCCTATGGTAGTAAAGGAAATAGCTTCATATAAAAGCTAGACAGTAGCATTCTCAGAAACTTCTTTGTGATGCTTGCATTCAACTCACAGAGTTGAACTTTCCTTTCGAGAGAGAAGCTTTGAAACACTCTTTTTCCAGAATCTGCAAGTGGACATTTGGAGGGCTTTGAGGCCTGTGGTGGAAAAGGAATTATCTTCCCGTAAAAGCTAGATAGAAGCATTGTCAGAAACTTCTTTGTGATGATTGCATTCAACTCACAGAGTTGAAGGTTCCTTTTCAAACAGCAGTTTCCAATCACTCTTTCTGTGGAATCTGCAAGTGGATATTTGGGCCTCTCTGAGGATTTCGTTGGAAACGGGATAAAACGCACAGAACTAAAACAGAAGCATTCTCAGAAACTTCTCTGTGATGTTTGTGTTCAACTCCCAGAGTTTCACGTTGCTTTTCATAGAGTAGTTCTGAAACATGCTTTTCGTAGTGTCTGCAAGTGGACATTTGGAGTGCTTTCAGGCCTGTGGTGGAAAACGAATTATGGTCACATAAAAACTGGAGAGAAGCCTTCTCAGAAACTTCTCTGTGATGATTGCATTCAACTCACAGAGTTGAACCCTCCTATGGATAGAGCAGTGTTGAAACTCTCTTTTTGTGGAATCTGCAAGTGGATATGTGGACCTCTCCGAAGATGTCTTTGGAAACGGGAATATCTTCACATAAAAACTAAACAGAAGCATTCTCAGAAACTTCTTGGTGATGTTTGCATTCAAATCCCAGAGTTGAACCTTCCTTTGATAGTTCAGGTTTGAAACACTCTTTTTGTAGGATCTGCAAGTGGCTATTTGGACCACTCTGTGGCCTTCGTTCGAAACGGGTATATCTTCGCATAAAATCTAGACAGAAGCATTCTCAGAAAATACTTTGTGATGATTGAGTTTAAATCACAGAGCTGACCATTCCTCTGGATGGAGCAGGTTTGAGACACACTTTTTGTAGAATCTACAAGTGGATATTTGGACCTCTCTGAGGATTTCGTTGGAAACGGGATAACTGCACCTAACTAAACGGAAGCATTCTCAGAAACTGCTTTGTGATGATTGCATTCACCTCACAGAGTTGAACATTCCTATTGATAGAGCAGTTTGGAAACACTCTTGTTGTGGAATGTGCAAGTGGAGATTTGGAGCGCTTTGAGGCCTATGGTAGTAAAGGGAATAGCTTCATAGAAAAACTAGACAGATGCATTCTCAGGAACTTTTTGGTGATGTTTGTATTCAACTCCCAGAGTTGAACTTTCCTTTGGAAAGAGCAGCTATGAAACACTCTTTTTCTAGAATCTGCAAGTGGACGTTTGGAGGGCTTTGTGGTTTGTGGTGGAAAAGGAAATATCTTCACCTAAATACTAGATAGAAGCATTCTCAGAAGCTTCTCTGTGATGACTGCATTCAACTCACGGAGTTGAACACTCCTTTTGAGAGCGCAGTTTTGAAACTCTCTTTCTGTGGCATCTGCAAGGGGACATGTAGACCTGTTTGAAGATTTCGTTGGAAACGGAATCACCTTCACATCAAAACTATACAGAAGCAGTCTCAGAATCTTCTTTGTGGTGTTTGCATTCAAATCCCAGAGTTGAACTTTCCTTTCAAAGTTCACGTTTGAAACACTCTTTTTGCAGGATCTACAAGTGGATATTTGGACCACTCTGTGTCCTTCGTTCGAAACGGGTATATCTTCACATGACATCTAGACAGAAGCTTTCTCAGAAAATTCTTTGGGATGATTGAGTGGAACTCACAGAGCTGAACATTCCTTGCGATGTAGCAGTTTAGAAACACACTTTCTGCAGAATCTGCAAGTGCATATTTGGACCTCTCTGAGGAATTCGTTGGAAACGGGATAATTTCAGCTGACTAAACAGAAGCATTCTCAGAACCTTCTTCGTGATGTCTGCATTCAACTCACAGTGTGGAACCTTTCTTTGATAGTTCAGCTTTGAAACACTCTTTTTGTAGAAACTGCAAGGGGATCATTGCACTTCTTTGAGGCCTACCGTAGTAAAGGAAATAACTTCCTATAAAAAGAAGACAGAAGCATTCTCAGAACCCTCTTCGTGATGTTTGCATTCAACTCACAGTGCTGAACCTTTCTTTGATAGTTCAGCTTTGAAACACTCTTTTTGTAGAAACTGCAAGTGGATATTTGGTCCTCTCTGAGGATTTCGTTGGAAACGGGATAAACCGCACAGAACTAAACAGAAGCATTCTCAGAACCTTCTTCGTGATGTTTGCATTCAACTCACAAGTGTTGAACCTTTCTTTGATAGTTCAGGTTTGAAACGGTCTTTCTGTAGAAACTGCAAGTAGATATTTGGACCTCTCTGAGGATTTCGTTGGAAACGGGATAACCCGCACAGAACTAAAACAGAAGCATTCACAGAAAACTCATGGTGACGAATGAGTTTAACTCACAGAGCTGAACATTCCTTTGGATGGAGCAGTTTCGAAACACACTATTTGTAGAATGTGCAAGTGGATATTTGGGCCTCTCTGAGGATTTCGTTGGAAACGGGATAAACCGCACAGACCTAAACAGAAGCATTCTCAGAAACTACTTTGTGATGATTGCATTCAAGTCACAGAGTTGAACATTCCCTTTGACAGAGCAGTTTGGAAACTCTCTTTGTGTAGAATCTGCAAGTGGAGATATGGACCGCTTTGAGGCCTATGGTAGTAAAGGAAATAGCTTCATATAAAAGCTAGACAGTAGCATTCTCAGAAACTTCTTTGTGATGCTTGCATTCAACTCACAGAGTTGAACTTTCCTTTCGAGAGAGAAGCTTTGAAACACTCTTTTTCCAGAATCTGCAAGTGGACATTTGGAGGGCTTTGAGGCCTGTGGTGGAAAAGGAATTATCTTCCCGTAAAAGCTAGATAGAAGCATTGTCAGAAACTTCTTTGTGATGATTGCATTCAACTCACAGAGTTGAAGGTTTCTTTTCAAAGAGCAGTTTCCAATCACTCTTTCTGTGGAATCTGCAAGTGGATATTTGGACCTATTTTGAAGATTTCTTTGGAAACGGGATAATCTTCACAGAAAAGCTAAACAGAAGCATTCTCAGAAACTTCTCTGTGATGTTTGTGTTCAACTCCCAGAGTTTCACGTTGCTTTTCATAGAGTAGTTCTGAAACATGCTTTTCGTAGTGTCTGCAAGTGGACATTTGGAGCGCTTTCAGGCCTGTGGTGGAAAACGAATTATGGTCACATAAAAACTGGAGAGAAGCCTTCTCAGAAACTTCTCTGTGATGATTGCATTCAACTCACAGAGTTGAACCCTCCTATGGATAGAGCAGTGTTGAAACTCTCTTTTTGTGGAATCTGCAAGTGGATATGTGGACCTCTCCGAAGATGTCTTTGGAAACGGGAATATCTTCACATAAAAACTAAACAGAAGCATTCTCAGAAACTTCTTGGTGATGTTTGCATTGAAATCCCAGAGTTGAACCTTCCTTTGATAGTTCAGGTTTGAAACACTCTTTTTGTAGGATCTGCAAGTGGATATTTGGACCACTCTGTGGCCTTCGTTCGAAACGGCTATATCTTCGCATAAAATCTAGACAGAAGCATTCTCAGAAAATACTTTGTGATGATTGAGTTTAAATCACAGAGCTGACCATTCCTTTGGATGGAGCAGGTTTGAGACACACTTTTTGTAGAATCTACAAGTGGATATTTGGACCTCTCTGAGGATTTCGTTGGAAACGGGATAACTGCACCTAACTAAACGGAAGCATTCTCAGAAACTGCTTTGTGATGATTGCATTCACCTCACAGAGTTGAACATTCCTATTGATAGAGCAGTTTGGAAACACTCTTGTTGTGGAATGTGCAAGTGGAGATTTGGAGCGCTTTGAGGCCTATGGTAGTAAAGGGAATAGCTTCATAGAAAAACTAGACAGATGCATTCTCAGGAACCTTTTGGTGATGTTTGTATTCAACTCCCAGAGTTGAACTTTCCTTTGGAAAGAGCAGCTATGAAACACTCTTTTTCTAGAATCTGCAAGTGGACGTTTGGAGGGCTTTGTGGTTTGTGGTGGAAAAGGAAATATCTTCACCTAAATACTAGATAGAAGCATTCTCAGAAGCTTCTCTGTGATGACTGCATTCAACTCACGGAGTTGAACACTCCTTTTGAGAGCGCAGTTTTGAAACTCTCTTTCTGTGGCATCTGCAAGGGGACATGTAGACCTCTTTGAAGATTTCGTTGGAAACGGAATCATCTTCACATAAAAACTATACAGAAGCAGTCACAGAATCTTCTTTGTGATGTTTGCATTCAAATCCCCGAGTTGAACTTTCCTTTCAAAGTTCACGTTTGAAACACTCTTTTTGCAGGATCTACAAGTGGATATTTGGACCACTCTGTGTCCTTCGTTCGAAACGGGTATATCTTCACATGACATCTAGACAGAAGCTTTCTCAGAAAATTCTTTGGGATGATTGAGTTCAGCAAACAGAGCTGAACACTCCTTGCGATGTAGCAGTTTAGAAACACACTTTCTGCAGAATCTGCAAGTGCATATGTGGACCTCTGTGAGGAATTCGTTGGAAACGGGATAATTTCAGCTGACTAAACAGAAGCATTCTCAGAACCTTCTTCGTGATGTCTGCATTCAACTCACAGTGTGGAACCTTTCTTTGATAGTTCAGGTTTGAAACACTCTTTTTGTAGAAACTGCAAGGGGATCATTGCACTTCTTTGAGGCCTACCGTAGTAAAGGAAATAACTTCCTATAAAAAGAAGACAGAAGCATTCTCAGAACCCTCTTCGTGATGTTTGCATTCAACTCACGGTGCTGAACCTTTCTTTGATAGTTCAGCTTTGAAACACTCTTTTTGTAGAAACTGCAAGTGGATATTTGGTCCTCTCTGAGGATTTCGTTGGAAACGGGATAAACCGCACAGAACTAAACAGAAGCATTCTCAGAACCTTCTTCGTGATGTTTGCATTCAACTCACAGTGTTGAACCTTTCTTTGACAGTTCAGGTTTGAAACGGTCTTTCTGTAGAAACTGCAAGTAGATATTTGGACCTCTCTGAGGATTTCGTTGGAAACGGGATAAACCGCACAGAACTAAAACAGAAGCATTCACAGAAAACTCTTGGTGACGACTGAGTTTAACTCACAGAGCTGAACATTCCTTTGGATGGAGCAGTTTCGAAACACACTATTTGTAGAATGTGCAAGTGGATATGTGGGCCTCTCTGAGGATTTCGTTGGAAACGGGATAAACCGCACAGAACTAAACAGAAGCATTCTCAGAAACTACTTTGTGATGATTGCATTCAAGTCACAGAGTTGAACATTCCCTTTGACAGAGCAGTTTGGAAACTCTCTTTGTGTAGAATCTGCAAGTGGAGATATGGACCGCTTTGAGGCCTATGGTAGTAAAGGAAATAGCTTCATATAAAAGCTAGACAGTAGCATTCTCAGAAACTTCTTTGTGATGCTTGCATTCAACTCACAGAGTTGAACTTTCCTTTCGAGAGAGAAGCTTTGAAACACTCTTTTTCCAGAATCTGCAAGTGGACATTTGGAGGGCTTTGAGGCCTGTGGTGGAAAAGGAATTATCTTCCCGTAAAAGCTAGATAGAAGCATTGTCAGAAACTTCTTTGTGATGATTGCATTCAACTCACAGAGTTGAAGGTTCCTTTTCAAACAGCAGTTTCCAATCACTCTTTCTGTGGAATCTGCAAGTGGATATTTGGGCCTCTCTGAGGATTTCGTTGGAAACGGGATAAAACGCACAGAACTAAAACAGAAGCATTCTCAGAAACTTCTCTGTGATGTTTGTGTTCAACTCCCAGAGTTTCACATTGCTTCTCATAGAGTAGTTCTGAAACATGCTTTTCGTAGTGTCTGCAAGTGGACATTTGGAGCGCTTTCAGGCCTGTGGTGGAAAACGAATTATGGTCACATAAAAACGGGAGAGAAGCCTTCTCAGAAACTTCTCTGTGATGATTGCATTCAACTCACAGAGTTGAACCCTCCTATGGATAGAGCAGTGTTGAAACTCTCTTTTTGTGGAATCTGCAAGCGGATATGTGGACCTCTCCGAAGATGTCTTTGGCAACGGGAATATCTTCACATAAAAACTAAACAGAAGCATTCTCAGAAACTTCTTGGTGATGTTTGCATTCAAATCCCAGAGTTGAACCTTCCTTTGAGAGTTCAGGTTTGAAACACTCTTTTTGTAGGATCTGCAAGTGGATATTTGGACCACTCTGTGGCCTTCGTTCGAAACGGGTACATCTTCGCATAAAATCTAGACAGAAGCATTCTCAGAAAATACTTTGTGATGATTGAGTTTAAATCACAGAGCTGACCATTCCTTTGGATGGAGCAGGTTTGAGACACACTTTTTGTAGAATCTACAAGTGGATATTTGGACCTCTCTGAGGATTTCGTTGGAAACGGGATAACTGCACCTAACTAAACGGAAGCATTCTCAGAAACTGCTTTGTGATGATTGCATTCACCTCACAGAGTTGAACATCCCTATTGATAGAGCAGTTTGGAAACACTCTTGTTGTGGAATGTGCAAGTGGAGATTTGGAGCGCTTTGAGGCCTGTGGTAGTAAAGGGAATAGCTTCATAGAAAAACTAGACAGATGCATTCTCAGGAACTTTTTGGTGATGTTTGTATTCAACTCCCAGAGTTGAACTTTCCTTTGGAAAGAGCAGCTATGAAACACTCTTTTTCTAGAATCTGCAAGTGGACGTTTGGAGGGCTTTGTGGTTTGTGGTGGAAAAGGAAATATCTTCACCTAAATACTAGATAGAAGCATTCTCAGACGCTTCTCTGTGATGACTGCATTCAACTCACGGAGTTGAACACTCCTTTTGAGAGCGCAGTTTTGAAACTCTCTTTCTGTGGCATCTGCAAGGGGACATGTAGACCTCTTTGAAGATTTCGTTGGAAACGGAATCATCTTCACATAAAAACTATACAGAAGCAGTCTCAGAATCTTCTTTGTGATGTTTGCATTCAAATCCCAGAGTTGAACTTTCCTTTCAAAGTTCACGTTTGAAACACTCTTTTTGCAGGATCTACAAGTGGATATTTGGACCACTCTGTGTCCTTCGTTCGAAACGGGTATATCTTCACACGACATCTAGACAGAAGCTTTCTCAGAAAATCCTTTGGGATGATTGAGTGGAACTCACAGAGCTGAACATTCCTTGCGATGTAGCAGTTTAGAAACACACTTTCTGCAGAATCTGCAAGTGCATATTTGGACCTCTCTGAGGAATTCGTTGGAAACGGGATAATTTCAGCTGACTAAACAGAAGCATTCTCAGAACCTTCTTCGTGATGTCTGCATTCAACTCACAGTGTGGAACCTTTCTTTGATAGTTCAGGTTTGAAACACTCTTTTTGTAGAAACTGCAAGGGGATAATTGCACTTCTTTGAGGCCTACCGTAGTAAAGGAAATAACTTCCTATAGAAAGAAGACAGAAGCATTCTCAGAACCCTCTTCGTGATGTTTGCATTCAACTCACAGTGCTGAACCTTTCTTTGATAGTTCAGCTTTGAAACACTCTTCTTGTAGAAACTGCAAGTGGATATTTGGTCCTCTCTGAGGATTTCGTTGGAAACGGGATAAACCGCACAGAACTAAACAGAAGAATTCTCAGAGCCCTCTTCGTGATGTTTGCATTCAACTCACAGTGCTGAACCTTTCTTTGATAGTGCAGCTTTGAAACACTCTTTTTGTAGAAACTGCAAGTGGATGTTTGGTCCTCTCTGAGGATTTCGTTGGAAACGGGATAAACCGCACAGAACTAAAACAGAAGCATTGTCAGAAACTTCTTTGTGATGATTGCATTCAACTCACAGAGTTGAAGGTTCCTTTTCAAACAGCAGTTTCCAATCACTCTTTCTGTGGAATCTGCAAGTGGATATTTGGGCCTCTCTGAGGATTTCGTTGGAAACGGGATAAAACGCACAGAACTAAAACAGAAGCATTCTCAGAAACTTCTCTGTGATGTTTGTGTTCAACTCCCAGAGTTTCACGTTGCTTTTCATAGAGTAGTTCTGAAACATGCTTTTCGTAGTGTCTGCAAGTGGACATTTGGAGCGCTTTCAGGCCTGTGGTGGAAAACGAATTATGGTCACATAAAAACTGGAGAGAAGCCTTCTCAGAAACTTCTCTGTGATGATTGCATTCAACTCACAGAGTTGAACCCTCCTATGGATAGAGCAGTGTTGAAACTCTCTTTTTGTGGAATCTGCAAGTGGATATGTGGACCTCTCCGAAGATGTCTTTGGAAACGGGAATATCTTCACATAAAAACTAAACAGAAGCATTCTCAGGAAACTTCTTGGTGATGTTTGCATTCAAATCCCAGAGTTGAACCTTCCTTTGATAGTTCAGGTTTGAAACACTCTTTTTGTAGGATCTGCAAGTGGCTATTTGGACCACTCTGTGGCCTTCGTTCGAAACGGGTATATCTTCGCATAAAATCTAGACAGAAGCATTCTCAGAAAATACTTTGTGATGATTGAGTTTAAATCACAGAGCTGACCATTCCTTTGGATGGAGCAGGTTTGAGACACACTTTTTGTAGAATCTACAAGTGGATATTTGGACCTCTCTGAGGATTTCGTTGGAAACGGGATAACTGCACCTAACTAAACGGAAAGCATTCTCAGAAACTGCTTTGTGATGATTGCATTCACCTCACAGAGTTGAACATTCCTATTGATAGAGCAGTTTGGAAACACTCTTGTTGTGGAATGTGCAAGTGGAGATTTGGAGCGCTTTGAGGCCTATGGTAGTAAAGGGAATAGCTTCATAGAAAAACTAGACAGTGCATTCTCAGGAACTTTTTGGTGATGTTTGTATTCAACTCCCAGAGTTGAACTTTCCTTTGGAAAGAGCAGCTATGAAACACTCTTTTTCTAGAATCTGCAAGTGGACGTTTGGAGGGCTTTGTGGTTTGTGGTGGAAAAGGAAATATCTTCACCTAAATACTAGATAGAAGCATTCTCAGAAGCTTCTCTGTGATGAGTGCATTCAACTCACGGAGTTGAACACTCCTTTTGAGAGCGCAGTTTTGAAACTCTCTTTCTGTGGCATCTGCAAGGGGACATGTAGACCTCTCTGAAGATTT
The DNA here is from genome assembly GCF_000001405.40 of Homo sapiens. Lineage (NCBI taxonomy): Eukaryota > Metazoa > Chordata > Mammalia > Primates > Hominidae > Homo > Homo sapiens. The sequence continues at coordinate 26,001,122 of NC_000017.11, forward strand.
CGTTGGAAACGGAATCATCTTCACATAAAAACTATACAGAAACAGTCTCAGAATCTTCTTTGTGATGTTTGCATTCAAATCCCAGAGTTGAACTTTCCTTTCAAAGTTCACGTTTGAAACACTCTTTTTGCAGGATCTACAAGTGGATATTTGGACCACTCTGTGTCCTTCGTTCAAAACGGGTATATCTTCACATGACATCTAGACAGAAGCTTTCTCAGAAAATTCTTTGGGATGATTGAGTTGAACTCACAGAGCTGAACATTCCTTGCGATGTAGCAGTTTAGAAACACACTTTCTGCAGAATCTGCAAGTGCATATTTGGACCTCTCTGAGGAATTCGTTGGAAACGGGATAATTTCAGCTGACTAAACCGAAGCATTCTCAGAACCTTCTTCGTGATGTCTGCATTCAACTCACAGTGTGGAACCTTTCTTTGATAGTTCAGGTTTGAAACACTCTTTTTGTAGAAACTGCAAGGGGATAATTGCACTTCTTTGAGGCCTACCGTAGTAAAGGAAATAACTTCCTATAGAAAGAAGACAGAAGCATTCTCAGAACCCTCTTCGTGATGTTTGCATTCAACTCACAGTGCTGAACCTTTCTTTGATAGTTCAGCTTTGAAACACTCTTCTTGTAGAAACTGCAAGTGGATATTTGGTCCTCTCTGAGGATTTCGTTGGAAACGGGATAAACCGCACAGAACTAAACAGAAGAATTCTCAGAGCCCTCTTCGTGATGTTTGCATTCAACTCACAGTGCTGAACCTTTCTTTGATAGTGCAGCTTTGAAACACTATTTTTGTAGAAACTGCAAGTGGATGTTTGGTCCTCTCTGAGGATTTCGTTGGAAACGGGATAAACCGCACAGAACTAAAACAGAAGCATTGTCAGAAACTTCTTTGTGATGATTGCATTCAACTCACAGAGTTGAAGGTTCCTTTTCAAACAGCAGTTTCCAATCACTCTTTCTGTGGAATCTGCAAGTGGATATTTGGGCCTCTCTGAGGATTTCGTTGGAAACGGGATAAAACGCACAGAACTAAAACAGAAGCATTCTCAGAAACTTCTCTGTGATGTTTGTGTTCAACTCCCAGAGTTTCACGTTGCTTTTCATAGAGTAGTTCTGAAACATGCTTTTCGTAGTGTCTGCAAGTGGACATTTGGAGCGCTTTCAGGCCTGTGGTGGAAAACGAATTATGGTCACATAAAAACTGGAGAGAAGCCTTCTCAGAAACTTCTCTGTGATGATTGCATTCAACTCACAGAGTTGAACCCTCCTATGGATAGAGCAGTGTTGAAACTCTCTTTTTGTGGAATCTGCAAGTGGATATGTGGACCTCTCCGAAGATGTCTTTGGAAACGGGAATATCTTCACATAAAAACTAAACAGAAGCATTCTCAGAAACTTCTTGGTGATGTTTGCATTCAAATCCCAGAGTTGAACCTTCCTTTGATAGTTCAGGTTTGAAACACTCTTTTTGTAGGATTTGCAAGTGGATATTTGGACCACTCTGTGGCCTTCGTTCGAAACGGGTATATCTTCGCATAAAATCTAGACAGAAGCATTCTCAGAAAATACTTTGTGATGATTGAGTTTAACTCACAGAGCTGAACATTCCTTTGGATGGAGCAGGTTTGAGACACACTTTTTGTAGAATCTACAAGTGGATATTTGGACCTCTCTGAGGATTTCGTTGGAAACGCGATAACTGCACCTAACTAAACGGAAGCATTCTCAGAAACTGCTTTGTGATGATTGCATTCACCTCACAGAGTTGAACATTCCTATTGATAGAGCAGTTTGGAAACACTCTTGTTGTGGAATGTGCAAGTGGAGATTTGGAGCGCTTTGAGGCCTATGGTAGTAAAGGGAATAGCTTCATAGAAAAACTAGACAGATGCATTCTCAGGAACTTTTTGGTGATGTTTGTATTCAACTCCCAGAGTTGAACTTTCCTTTGGAAAGAGCAGCTATGAAACACTCTTTTTCTAGAATCTGCAAGTGGACGTTTGGAGGGCTTTGTGGTTTGTGGTGGAAAAGGAAATATCTTCACCTAAATACTAGACAGAAGCATTCTCAGAAGCTTCTCTGTGATGACTGCATTCAACTCACGGAGTTGAACACTCCTTTTGAGAGCGTAGTTTTGAAACTCTCTTTCTGTGGCATCTGCAAGGGGACATGTAGACCTCTTTGAAGATTTCGTTGGAAACGGAATCATCTTCACATAAAAACTATACAGAAGCAGTCTCAGAATCTTCTTTGTGATGTTTGCATTCAAATCCCAGAGTTGAACTTTCCTTTCAAAGTTCACGTTTGAAACACTCTTTTTGCAGGATCTACAAGTGGATATTTGGACCACTCTGTGTCCTTCGTTCGAAACGGGTATATCTTCACACGACATCTAGACAGAAGCTTTCTCAGAAAATTCTTTGGGATGATTGAGTGGAACTCACAGAGCTGAACATTCCTTGCGATGTAGCAGTTTAGAAACACACTTTCTGCAGAATCTGCAAGTGCATATTTGGACCTCTCTGAGGAATTCGTTGGAAACGGGATAATTTCAGCTGACTAAACAGAAGCATTCTCAGAACCTTCTTCGTGATGTCTGCATTCAACTCACAGTGTGGAACCTTTCTTTGATAGTTCAGGTTTGAAACACTCTTTTTGTAGAAACTGCAAGGGGATAATTGCACTTCTTTGAGGCCTACCGTAGTAAAGGAAATAACTTCCTATAGAAAGAAGACAGAAGCATTCTCAGAACCCTCTTCGTGATGTTTGCATTCAACTCACAGTGCTGAACCTTTCTTTGATAGTTCAGCTTTGAAACACTCTTCTTGTAGAAACTGCAAGTGGATATTTGGTCCTCTCTGAGGATTTCGTTGGAAACGGGATAAACCGCACAGAACTAAACAGAAGAATTCTCAGAGCCCTCTTCGTGATGTTTGCATTCAACTCACAGTGCTGAACCTTTCTTTGATAGTGCAGCTTTGAAACACTCTTTTTGTAGAAACTGCAAGTGGATATTTGGTCCTCTCTGAGGATTTCGTTGGAAACGGGATAAACCGCACAGAACTAAAACAGAAGCATTCACAGAAAACTCTTGGTGACGACTGAGTTTAACTCACAGAGCTGAACATTCCTTTGGATGGAGCAGTTTCGAAACACACTATTTGTAGAATCTGCAAGTGGATATTTGGGCCTCTCTGAGGATTTCGTTGGAAACGGGATAAAACGCATAGAACTAAAACAGAAGCATTCTCAGAAACTACTTTGTGATTATTGCATTCAAGTCACAGAGTTGAACATTCCCTTTGACAGAGCAGTTTGGAAACTCTCTTTGTGTAGAATCTGCAAGTGGAGATATGGACCGCTTTGAGGCCTATGGTAGTAAAGGAAATAGCTTCATATAAAACCTAGACAGTAGCATTCTCAGAAACTTCTTTGTGATGCTTGCATTCAACTCACAGAGTTGAACTTTCCTTTCGAGAGAGAAGCTTTGAAACACTCTTTTTCCAGAATGTGCAAGTGGACATTTGGGGAGCTTTGAGGCCTGTGGAGGAAAAGGAATTATCTTCCCGTAAAAGCTAGATAGAAGCATTGTCAGAAACTTCTTTGTGATGATTGCATTCAACTCACAGAGTTGAAGGTTCCTTTTCAAACAGCAGTTTCCAATCACTCTTTCTGTGGAATCTGCAAGTGGATATTTCGACCTCTTTGAAGATTTCGTTGGAAACGGGAGAATCTTCACAGAAAAGCTAAACAGAAGCATTCTCAGAAACTTCTCTGTGATGTTTGTGTTCAACTCCCAGAGTTTCACGTTGCTTTTCATAGAGTAGTTCTGAAACATGCTTTTCGTAGTGTCTGCAAGTGGACATTTGGAGCACTTTCAGGCCTGTGGTGGAAAACGAATTATGGTCACAAAAAAACTGGAGAGAAGCCTTCTCAGAAACTTCTCTGTGATGATTGCATTCAACTCACAGAGTTGAACCCTCCTATGGATAGAGCAGTGTTGAAACTCTCTTTTTGTGGAATCTGCAAGTGGATATGTGGACCTCTCCGAAGATGTCTTTGGAAACGGGAATATCTTCACATAAAAACTAAACAGAAGCATTCTCAGAAACTTCTTGGTGATGTTTGCATTCAAATCCCAGAGTTGAACCTTCCTTTGATAGTTCAGGTTTGAAACACTCTTTTTGTAGGATCTGCAAGTGGCTATTTGGACCACTCTGTGGCCTTCGTTCGAAACGGGTATATCTTCGCATAAAATCTAGACAGAAGCATTCTCAGAAAATACTTTGTGATGATTGAGTTTAACTCACAGAGCTGAACATTCCTTTGGATGGAGCAGGTTTGAGACACACTTTTTGTAGAATCTACAAGTGGATATTTGGACCTCTCTGAGGATTTCGTTGGAAACGGGATAACTGCACCTAACTAAACGGAAGCATTCTCAGAAACTGCTTTGTGATGATTGCATTCACCTCACAGAGTTGAACATTCCTATTGATAGAGCAGTTTGGAAACACTCTTGTTGTGGAATGTGCAAGTGGAGATTTGGAGTGCTTTGAGGCCTATGGTAGTAAAGGGAATAGCTTCATAGAAAAACTAGACAGATGCATTCTCAGGAACTTTTTGGTGATGTTTGTATTCAACTCCCAGAGTTGAACTTTCCTTTGGAAAGAGCAGCTATGAAACACTCTTTTTCTAGAATCTGCAAGTGGACGTTTGGAGGGCTTTGTGGTTTGTGGTGGAAAAGGAAATATCTTCACCTAAATACTAGATAGAAGCATTCTCAGAAGCTTCTCTGTGATGACTGCATTCAACTCACGGAGTTGAACACTCCTTTTGAGAGGGCAGTTTTGAAACTCTGTTTCTGTGGCATCTGCATGGGGACATGTAGACCTCTTTGAAGATTTCGTTGGAAACGGAATCATCTTCACATAAAAACTATACAGAAGCAGTCTCAGAATCTTCTTTGTGATGTTTGCATTCAAATCCCAGAGTTGAACTTTCCTTTCAAAGTTCACGTTTGAAACACTCTTTTTGCAGGATCTACAAGTGGATATTTGGACCACTCTGTGTCCTTCGTTCGAAACGGGTATATCTTCACATGACATCTAGACAGAAGCTTTCTCAGAAAATTCTTTGGGATGATTGAGTGGAACTCACAGAGCTGAACATTCCTTGCGATGTAGCAGTTTAGAAACACACCTTCTGCAGAATCTGCAAGTGCATATTTGGACCTCTCTGAGGAATTCGTTGGAAACGGGATAATTTCAGCTGACTAAACAGAAGCATTCTCAGAACCTTCTTCGTGATGTCTGCATTCAACTCACAGTGTGGAACCTTTCTTTGATAGTTCAGGTTTGAAACACTCTTTTTGTAGAAACTGCAAGGGGATAATTGCACTTCTTTGAGGCCTACCGTAGTAAAGGAAATAACTTCCTATAGAAAGAAGACAGAAGAATTCTCAGAGCCCTCTTCGTGATGTTTGCATTCAACTCACAGTGCTGAACCTTTCTTTGATAGTGCAGCTTTGAAACACTCTTTTTGTAGAAACTGCAAGTGGATATTTGGTCCTCTCTGAGGATTTCGTTGGAAACGGGATAAACCGCACAGAACTAAAACAGAAGCATTCTCAGAACCTTCTTCGTGATGTTTGCATTCAACTCACAGTGTTGAACCTTTCTTTGATAGTTCAGGTTTGAAACGGTCTTTCTGTAGAAACTGCAAGTAGATATTTGGACCTCTCTGAGGATTTCGTTGGAAACGGGATAACCCGCACAGAACTAAAACAGAAGCATTCACAGAAAACTCTTGGTGACGACTGAGTTTAACTCACAGAGCTGAACATTCCTTTGGATGGAGCAGTTTCGAAACACACTATTTGTAGAATGTGCAAGTGGATATTTAGGCCTCTCTGAGGATTTCGTTGGAAACGGGATAAACCGCACAGAACTAAACAGAAGCATTCTCAGAAACTACTTTGTGATGATTGCATTCAAGTCACAGAGTTGAACATTCCCTTTGACAGAGCAGTTTGGAAACTCTCTTTGTGTAGAATCTGCAAGTGGAGATATGGACCGCTTTGAGGCCTATGGTAGTAAAGGAAATAGCTTCATATAAAAGCTAGACAGTAGCATTCTCAGAAACTTCTTTGTGATGTTTGCATTCAACTCACAGAGTTGAACTTTCCTTTTGAGAGAGAAGCTTTGAAACACTCTTTTTCTAGAATCTGCAAGTGGACATTTGGAGGGCTTTGAGGCCTGTGTTGGAAAAGGGAATATCTTCCCGTAAAAACTAGATAGAAGCATTGTCAGAAACTTCTTTGTGATGATTGCATTCAACTCACAGAGAATGAAGGTTCCTTTACAAACAGCAGTTTCCAAACACTCTTTCTGTGGAATCTGCAAGTGGATATTTGGACCTCTTTGAAGATTTCGTTGGAAACGGGAGAATCTTCACAGAAAAGCTAAACAGAAGCATTCTCAGAAACTTCTCTGTGATGTTTGTGTGCAACTCCCAGAGTTTCACATTGCTTCTCATAGAGTAGTTCTGAAACATGCTTTTCATAGTGTCTGCAAGTGGACATTTGGAGCGCTTTCAGGCCTGTGGTGGAAAACGAATTATGGTCACATAAAAACTGGAGAGAAGCCTTCTCAGAAACTTCTCTGTGATGATTGCATTCAACTCACAGAGTTGAACCCTCCTATGGATAGAGCAGTGTTGAAACTCTCTTTTTGTGGAATCTGCAATTGGATATGTGGACCCCTCCGAAGATGTCTTTGGAAACGGGAATATCTTCACATAAAAACTAAACAGAAGCATTCTCAGAAACTTCTTGGTGATGTTTGCATTCAAATCCCAGAGTTGAACCTTCCTTTGAGAGTTCAGGTTTGAAACACTCTTTTTGTAGGATCTGCAAGTGGATATTTGGACCACTCTGTGGCCTTCGTTCGAAACGGGTACATCTTCGCATAAAATCTAGACAGAAGCATTCTCAGAAAATACTTTGTGATGATTGAGTTTAAATCACAGAGCTGACCATTCCTTTGGATGGAGCAGGTTTGAGACACACTTTTTGTAGAATCTACAAGTGGATATTTGGACCTCTCTGAGGATTTCGTTGGAAACGGGATAACTGCACCTAACTAAACGGAAGCATTCTCAGAAACTGCTTTGTGATGATTGCATTCACCTCACAGAGTTGAACATTCCTATTGATAGAGCAGTTTGGAAACACTCTTGTTGTGGAATGTGCAAGTGGAGATTTGGAGCGCTTTGAGGTCTATGGTAGTAAAGGGAATAGCTTCATAGAAAAACTAGACAGATGCATTCTCAGGAACTTTTTGGTGATGTTTGTATTCAACTCCCAGAGTTGAACTTTCCTTTGGAAAGAGCAGCTATGAAACACTCTTTTTCTAGAATCTGCAAGTGGACGTTTGGAGGGCTTTGTGGTTTGTGGTGGAAAAGGAAATATCTTCACCTAAATACTAGATAGAAGCATTCTCAGAAGCTTCTCTGTGATGACTGCATTCAACTCACGGAGTTGAACACTCCTTTTGAGAGCGCAGTTTTGAAACTCTCTTTCTGTGGCATCTGCAAGGGGACATGTAGACCTCTTTGAAGATTTCGTTGGAAACGGAATCATCTTCACATAAAAACTATACAGAAGCAGTCTCAGAATCTTCTTTGTGATGTTTGCATTCAAATCCCAGAGTTGAACTTCCCTTTCAAAGTTCACGTTTGAAACACTCTTTTTGCAGGATCTACAAGTGGATATTTGGACCACTCTGTGTCCTTCGTTCGAAACGGGTATATCTTCACATGACATCTAGACAGAAGCTTTCTCAGAAAATTCTTTGGGATGATTGAGTGGAACTCACAGAGCTGAACATTCCTTGCGATGTAGCAGTTTAGAAACACACTTTCTGCAGAATCTGCAAGTGCATATTTGGACCTCTCTGAGGAATTCGTTGGAAACGGGATAATTTCAGCTGACTAAACAGAAGCATTCTCAGAACCTTCTTCGTGATGTCTGCATTCAACTCACAGTGTGGAACCTTTCTTTGATAGTTCAGGTTTGAAACACTCTTTTTGTAGAAACTGCAAGGGGATAATTGCACTTCTTTGAGGCCTACCGTAGTAAAGGAAATAACTTCCTATAGAAAGAAGACAGAAGCATTCTCAGAGCCCTCTTCGTGATGTTTGCATTCAACTCACAGTGCTGAACCTTTCTTTGATAGTGCAGCTTTGAAACACTCTTTTTGTAGAAACTGCAAGTGGATGTTTGGTCCTCTCTGAGGATTTCGTTGGAAACGGGATAAACCGCACAGAACTAAAACAGAAGCATTCTCAGAACCTTCTTCGTGATGTTTGCATTCAACTCACAGTGTTGAACCTTTCTTTGATAGTTCAGGTTTGAAACGGTCTTTCTGTAGAAACTGCAAGTAGATATTTGGACCTCTCTGAGGATTTCGTTGGAAACGGGATAAACCGCACAGAACTAAAACAGAAGCATTCACAGAAAACTCTTGGTGACGACTGAGTTTAACTCACAGAGCTGAACATTCCTTTGGATGGAGCAGTTTCGAAACACACTATTTGTAGAATGTGCAAGTGGATATTTGGACCTCTCTGAGGATTTCGTTGGAAACGGGATAAACCGCACAGAACTAAACAGAAGCATTCTCAGAAACTACTTTGTGATGATTGCATTCAAGTCACAGAGTTGAACATTCCCTTTGACAGAGCAGTTTGGAAACTCTCTTTGTGTAGAATCTGCAAGTGGAGATATGGACCGCTTTGAGGCCTATGGTAGTAAAGGAAATAGCTTCATATAAAAGCTAGACAGTAGCATTCTCAGAAACTTCTTTGTGATGCTTGCATTCAACTCACAGAGTTGAACTTTCCTTTCGAGAGAGAAGCTTTGAAACACTCTTTTTCCAGAATCTGCAAGTGGACATTTGGAGGGCTTTGAGGCCTGTGGTGGAAAAGGAATTATCTTCCCGTAAAAGCTAGATAGAAGCATTGTCAGAAACTTCTTTGTGATGATTGCATTCAACTCACAGAGTTGAAGGTTCCTTTTCAAACAGCAGTTTCCAATCACTCTTTCTGTGGAATCTGCAAGTGGATATTTGGGCCTCTCTGAGGATTTCGTTGGAAACGGGATAAAACGCACAGAACTAAAACAGAAGCATTCTCAGAAACTTCTCTGTGATGTTTGTGTTCAACTCCCAGAGTTTCACGTTGCTTTTCATAGAGTAGTTCTGAAACATGCTTTTCGTAGTGTCTGCAAGTGGACATTTGGAGCGCTTTCAGGCCTGTGGTGGAAAACGAATTATGGTCACATAAAAACTGGAGAGAAGCCTTCTCAGAAACTTCTCTGTGATGATTGCATTCAACTCACAGAGTTGAACCCTCCTATGGATAGAGCAGTGTTGAAACTCTCTTTTTGTGGAATCTGCAAGTGGATATGTGGACCTCTCCGAAGATGTCTTTGGAAACGGGAATATCTTCACATAAAAACTAAACAGACATTCTCAGAAACTTCTTGGTGATGTTTGCATTCAAATCCCAGAGTTGAACCTTCCTTTGATAGTTCAGGTTTGAAACACTCTTTCTGTAGGATCTGCAAGTGGCTATTTGGACCACTCTGTGGCCTTCGTTCGAAACGGGTATATCTTCGCATAAAATCTAGACAGAAGCATTCTCAGAAAATACTTTGTGATGATTGAGTTGAACTCACAGAGCTGAACATTCCTTTGGATGGAGCAGGTTTGAGACACACTTTTTGTAGAATCTACAAGTGGATATTTGGACCTCTCTGAGGATTTCGTTGGAAACGGGATAACTGCACCTAACTAAACGGAAGCATTCTCAGAAACTGCTTTGTGATGATTGCATTCACCTCACAGAGTTGAACATTCCTATTGATAGAGCAGTTTGGAAACACTCTTGTTGTGGAATGTGCAAGTGGAGATTTGGAGCGCTTTGAGGCCTATGGTAGTAAAGGGAATAGCTTCATAGAAAAACTAGACAGATGCATTCTCAGGAACATTTTGGTGATGTTTGTATTCAACTCCCAGAGTTGAACTTTCCTTTGGAAAGAGCAGCTATGAAACACTCTTTTTCTAGAATCTGCAAGTGGACGTTTGGAGGGCTTTGTGGTTTGTGGTGGAAAAGGAAATATCTTCACCTAAATACTACATAGAAGCATTCTCAGAAGCTTCTCTGTGATGACTGCATTCAACTCACGGAGTTGAACACTCCTTTTGAGAGCGCAGTTTTGAAACTCTCTTTCTGTGGCATCTGCAAGGGGACATGTAGACCTCTTTGAAGATTTCGTTGGAAACGGAATCATCTTCACATAAAAACTATACAGAAGCAGTCTCAGAATCTTCTTTGTGATGTTTGCATTCAAATACCAGAGTTGAACTTTCCTTTCAAAGTTCACGTTTGAAACACTCTTTTTGCAGGATCTACAAGTGGATATTTGGACCACTCTGTGTCCTTCGTTCGAAACGGGTATATCTTCACACGACATCTAGACAGAAGCTTTCTCAGAAAATTCTTTGGGATGATTGAGTGGAACTCACAGAGCTGAACATTCCTTGCGATGTAGCAGTTTAGAAACACACTTTCTGCAGAATCTGCAAGTGCATATTTGGACCTCTCTGAGGAATTCGTTGGAAACGGGATAATTTCAGCTGACTAAACAGAAGCATTCTCAGAACCTTCTTCGTGATGTCTGCATTCAACTCACAGTGTGGAACCTTTCTTTGATAGTTCAGGTTTGAAACACTCTTTTTGTAGAAACTGCAAGGGGATAATTGCACTCTTTGAGGAGTACCGTAGTAAAGGAAATAACTTCCTATAAAAAGAAGACAGAAGCATTCTCAGAACCCTCTTCGTGATGTTTGCATTCAACTCACAGTGCTGAACCTTTCTTTGATAGTTCAGCTTTGAAACACTCTTTTTGTAGAAACTGCAAATGGATATTTGGTCCTCTCTGAGGATTTCGTTGGAAAAGGGATAAAACGCACAGAACTAAACAGAAGCATTCACAGAAAACTCTTGGTGACGACTGAGTTTAACTCACAGAGCTGAACATTCCTTTGGATGGAGCAGTTTCAAAACACACTATTTGTAGAATCTGCAAGTGGATATGTGGGCCTCTCTGAGGATTTCGTTGGAAACGGGATAAACCGCACAGAACTAAAACAGAAGCATTCTCAGAAACTACTTTGTGATGATTGCATTCAAGTCACAGAGTTGAACATTCCCTTTGACAGAGCAGTTTGGAAACTCTCTTTGTGTAGAATCTGCAAGTGGAGATATGGACCGCTTTGAGGCCTATGGTAGTAAAGGAAATAGCTTCATATAAAAGCTAGACAGTAGCATTCTCAGAAACTTCTTTGTGATGCTTGTATTCAACTCACAGAGTTGAACTTTCCTTTCGAGAGAGAAGCTTTGAAACACTCTTTTTCCAGAATCTGCAAGTGGACATTTGGAGGGCTTTGAGGCCTGTGGTGGAAAATGAATTATCTTCCCGTATAAGCTAGATAGAAGCATTGTCAGAAACTTCTTTGTGATGATTGCATTCAACTCACAGAGTTGAAGGTTCCTTTTCAAAGAGCAGTTTCCAATCACTCTTTGTGTGGAATCTGCAAGTGGATATTTGGACCTATTTTGAAGATTTCGTTGGAAACGGGAGAATCTTCACAGGAAAGCTAAACAGAAGCATTCTCAGAAACTTCTCTGTGATGTTTGTGTTCAACTCCCAGAGTTTCACATTGCTTTTCATAGAGTAGTTCTGAAACATGGTTTTCGTAGTGTCTACAAGTGGACATTTGGAGCGCTTCCAGTCCTGTGGTGGAAAACGAATTATGGTCACATAAAAACTGGAGAGAAGCCTTCTCAGAAACTTCTCTGTGATGATTGCATTCAACTCACAGAGTTGAACCCTCCTATGGATAGAGCAGTGTTGAAACTCTCTTTTTGTGGAATCTGCAAGTGGATATGTGGACCTCTCCGAAGATGTCTTTGGAAACGGGAATATCTTCACATAATAACTAAACAGAAGCATTCTCAGAAACTTCTTGGTGATGTTTGCATTGAAATCCCAGAGTTGAACCTTCCTTTGACAGTTCAGGTTTGAAACACTCTTTTTGTAGGATCTGCAAGTGGATATTTGGACCACTCTGTGGCCTTCGTTCGAAACGGGTACATCTTCGCATAAAATCTAGACAGAAGCATTCTCAGAAAATACTTTGTGATGATTGAGTTGAACTCACAGAGCTGAACATTCCTTTGGATGGAGCAGGTTTGAGACACACTTTTTGTAGAATCTACAAGTGGATATTTGGACCTCTCTGAGGATTTCGTTGGAAACGGGATAACTGCACCTAACTAAACGGAAGCATTCTCAGAAACTGCTTTGTGATGATTGCATTCACCTCACAGAGTTGAACATTCCTATTGATAGAGCAGTTTGGACACACTCTTGTTGTGGAATGTGCAAGTGGAGATTTGGAGCGCTTTGAGGCCTATGGTAGTAAAGGGAACAGCTTCATAGAAAAACTAGACAGATGCATTCTCAGGAACTTTTTGGTGATGTTTGTATTCAACTCCCAGAGTTGAACTTTCCTTTGGAAAGAGCAGCTATGAAACACTGTTTTTCTAGAATCTGCAAGTGGACGTTTGGAGGGCTTTGTGGTTTGTGGTGGAAAAGGAAATATCTTCACCTAAATACTAGATAGAAGCATTCTCAGAAGCTTCTCTGTGATGACTGCATTCAACTCACGGAGTTGAACACTCCTTTTGAGAGCGCAGTTTTGAAACTCTCTTTCTGTGGCATCTGCAAGGGGACATGTAGACCTCTTTGAAGATTTCGTTGGAAACGGAATCATCTTCACATAAAAACTATACAGAAGCAGTCTCAGAATCTTCTTTGTGATGTTTGCATTCAAATCCCAGAGTTGAACTTTCCTTTCAAAGTTCACGTTTGAAACACTCTTTTTGCAGGATCTACAAGTGGATATTTGGACCACTCTGTGTCCTTCGTTCGAAACGGGTATAACTTCACACGACATCTAGACAGAAGCTTTCTCAGAAAATTCTTTGGGATGATTGAGTGGAACTCACAGAGCTGAACATTCCTTGCGATGGAGCAGTTTAGAAACACACTTTCTGCAGAATCTGCAAGTGCATATTTGGACCTCTCTGAGGAATTCGTTGGAAACGGGATAATTTCAGCTGACTAAACAGAAGCATTCTCAGAACCTTCTTCGTGATGTCTGCATTCAACTCACAGTGTGGAACCTTTCTTTGATAGTTCAGGTTTGAAACACTCTTTTTGTAGAAACTGCAAGGGGATAATTGCACTTCTTTGAGGCCTACCGTAGTAAAGGAAATAACTTCCTATAGAAAGAAGACAGAAGAATTCTCAGAGCCCTCTTCGTGATGTTTGCATTCAACTCACAGTGCTGAACCTTTCTTTGATAGTGCAGCTTTGAAACACTCTTTTTGTAGAAACTGCAAGTGGATGTTTGGTCCTCTCTGAGGATTTCGTTGGAAACGGGATAAACCGCACAGAACTAAAACAGAAGCATTCTCAGAACCTTCTTCGTGATGTTTGCATTCAACTCACAGTGTTGAACCTTTCTTTGATAGTTCAGGTTTGAAACGGTCTTTCTGTAGAAACTGCAAGTAGATATTTGGACCTCTCTGAGGATTTCGTTGGAAACGGGATAAACCGCACAGAACTACAACAGAAGCATTCACAGAAAACTCTTGGTGACGACTGAGTTTAACTCACAGAGCTGAACATTCCTTTGGATGGAGCAGTTTCGAAACACACTATTTGTAGAATGTGCAAGTGGATATTTGGGCCTCTCTGAGGATTTCGTTGGAAACGGGATAAACCGCACAGAACTAAACAGAAGCATTCTCAGAAACTACTTTGTGATGATTGCATTCAAGTCACAGAGTTGAACATTCCCTTTGACAGAGCAGTTTGGAAACTCTCTTTGTGTAGAATCTGCAAGTGGAGATATGGACCGCTTTGAGGCCTATGGTAGTAAAGGAAATAGCTTCATATAAAAGCTAGACAGTAGCATTCTCAGAAACTTCTTTGTGATGCTTGCATTCAACTCACAGAGTTGAACTTTCCTTTCGAGAGAGAAGCTTTGAAACACTCTTTTTCCAGAATGTGCAAGTGGACATTTGGGGAGCTTTGAGGCCTGTGGAGGGAAAGGAATTATCTTCCCGTAAAAGCTAGATAGAAGCATTGTCAGAAACTTCTTTGTGATGATTGCATTCAACTCACAGAGTTGAAGGTTCCTTTTCAAACAGCAGTTTCCAATCACTCTTTCTGTGGAATCTGCAAGTGGATATTTGGGCCTCTCTGAGGATTTCGTTGGAAACGGGATAAAACGCACAGAACTAAAACAGAAGCATTCTCAGAAACTTCTCTGTGATGTTTGTGTTCAACTCCCAGAGTTTCACGTTGCTTTTCATAGAGTAGTTCTGAAACATGCTTTTCGTAGTGTCTGCAAGTGGACATTTGGAGCGCTTTCAGGCCTGTGGTGGAAAACGAATTATGGTCACATAAAAACTGGAGAGAAGCCTTCTCAGAAACTTCTCTGTGATGATTGCATTCAACTCACAGAGTTGAACCCTCCTATGGATAGAGCAGTGTTGAAACTCTCTTTTTGTGGAATCTGCAAGTGGATATGTGGACCTCTCCGAAGATGTCTTTGGAAACGGGAATATCTTCACATAAAAACTAAACAGAAGCATTCTCAGAAATTTCTTGGTGATGTTTGCATTCAAATCCCAGAGTTGAACCTTCCTTTGATAGTTCAGGTTTGAAACACTCTTTCTGTAGGATCTGCAAGTGGCTATTTGGACCACTCTGTGGCCTTCGTTCGAAACGGGTATATCTTCGCATAAAATCTAGACAGAAGCATTCTCAGAAAATACTTTGTGATGATTGAGTTTAAATCACAGAGCTGAACATTCCTTTGGATGGAGCAGGTTTGAGACACACTTTTTGTAGAATCTACAAGTGGATATTTGGACCTCTCTGAGGATTTCGTTGGAAACGGGATAACTGCACCTAACTAAACGGAAGCATTCTCAGAAACTGCTTTGTGATGATTGCATTCACCTCACAGAGTTGAACATTCCTATTGATAGAGCAGTTTGGAAACACTCTTGTTGTGGAATGTGCAAGTGGAGATTTGGAGCGCTTTGAGGCCTGTGGTAGCAAAGGGAATAGCTTCATAGAAAAACTAGACAGATGCATTCTCAGGAACTTTTTGGTGATGTTTGTATTCAACTCCCAGAGTTGAACTTTCCTTTGTAAAGAGCAGCTATGAAACACACTTTTTCTAGAATCTGCAAGTGGACGTTTGGAGGGCTTTGTGGTTTGTGGTGGAAAAGGAAATATCTTCACCTAAATACTAGACAGAAGCATTCTCAGAAGCTTCTCTGTGATGACTGCATTCAACTCACGGAGTTGAACACTCCTTTTGAGAGCGCAGTTTTGAAACTCTCTTTCTGTGGCATCTGCAAGGGGACATGTAGACCTCTTTGAAGATTTCGTTGGAAACGGAATCATCTTCACATAAAAACTATACAGAAGCAGTCTCAGAATCTTCTTTGTGATGTTTGCATTCAAATCCCAGAGTTGAACTTTCCTTTCAAAGTTCACGTTTGAAACACTCTTTTTGCAGGATCTACAAGTGGATATTTGGACCACTCTGTGTCCTTCGTTCGAAACGGGTATATCTTCACATGACATCTAGACAGAAGCTTTCTCAGAAAATTCTTTGGGATGATTGAGTGGAACTCACAGAGCTGAACATTCCTTGCGATGTAGCAGTTTAGAAACACACTTTCTGCAGAATCTGCAAGTGCATATTTGGACCTCTCTGAGGAATTCGTTGGAAACGGGATAATTTCAGCTGACTAAACAGAAGCATTCTCAGAACCTTCTTCGTGATGTTTGCATTCAACTCACAGTGCTGAAACTTTCTTTGATAGTTCAGCTTTGAAACACTCTTTTTGTAGAAACTGCAAGTGGATATTTGGTCCTCTCTGAGGTTTTCGTTGGAAACGGGATAAACCGCACAGAACGAAACAGAAGCATTCTCAGAAACTTCTTCGTGATGTTTGCATTCAAATCACAGTGCTGAACCTTTCTTTGATAGTTCAGCTTTGAAACACTCTTTTTGTAGAAACTGCAAGTGGATATTTGGACCTCTCTGAGGATTTCTTTGGAAACGGGATAGACCGCACAGAACTAAAACAGAAGCATTCTCAGAACCCTCTTCGTGATGTTTGCATTCAACTCACAGTGTTGAACCTTTCTTTGATAGTTCAGGTTGGAAACGGTCTTTCTGTAGAAACTGCAAGTAGATATTTGGACCTCTCTGAGGATTTCGTTGGAAAAGGGATAAACCGCACAGAACTAAACAGAAGCATTCACAGAAAACTCTTGGTGACGACTGAGTTTAACTCACAGAGCTGAACATTCCCTTGGATGGAGCAGTTTCGAAACACACTCTTTGTAGAATCTGCAGGTGGATATTTGGGCCTCTCTGAGGATTTCGTTGGAAACGGGATAAACTGCACAGAACTAAAACAGAAGCATTCTCAGAAACTACTTTGTGATGATTGCATTCAAGTCACAGAGTTGAACATTCCCTTTGACAGAGCAGTTTGGAAACTCTCTTTGTGTAGAATCTGCAAGTGGAGATATGGACCGCTTTGAGACCTATGGTAGTAAAGGAAATAGCTTCATATAAAAGCTAGTCAGTAGCATTCTCAGAAACTTCTTTGTGATGCTTGCATTCAACTCACAGAGTTGAACTTTCCTTTCGAGAGAGAAGCTTTGAAACACTCTTTTTCCAGAATCTGCAAGTGGACATTTGGAGGGCTTTGAGGCCTGTGGTGGAAAAGGAATTATCTTCCCGTAAAAGCTAGATAGAAGCATTGTCAGAAACTTCTTTGAGATGATTGCATTCAACTCACAGAGTTGAAGGTTCCTTTTCAAACAGCAGTTTCCAATCACTCTTTCTGTGGAATCTGCAAGTGGATATTTCGACCTCTTTGAAGATTTCGTTGGAAACGGGAGAATCTTCACAGAAAAGCTAAACAGAAGCATTCTCAGAAACTTCTCTGTGATGTTTGTGTTCAACTCCCAGAGTTTCACGTTGCTTTTCATAGAGTAGTTCTGAAACATGCTTTTCGTAGTGTCTGCAAGTGGACATTTGGAGCGCTTTCAGGCCTGTGGTGGAAAACGAATTATGGTCACATAAAAACTGGAGAGAAGCCTTCTCAGAAACTTCTCTGTGATGACTGCATTCAACTCACAGAGTTGAACCCTCCTATGGATAGAGCAGTGTTGAAACTCTCTTTTTGTGGAATCTGCAAGTGGATATGTGGACCTCTCCGAAGATGTCTTTGGAAACGGGAATATCTTCACATAAAAACTAAACAGAAGCATTCTCAGAAACTTCTTGGTGATGTTTGCATTCAAATCCCAGAGTTGAACCTTCCTTTGATAGTTCAGGTTTGAAACACTCTTTTTGTAGGATCTGCAAGTGGATATTTGGACCACTCTGTGGCCTTCGTTCGAAACGGGTATATCTTCGCATAAAATCTAGACAGAAGCATTCTCAGAAAATACTTTGTGATGATTGAGTTTAACTCACAGAGCTGAACATTCCTTTGGATGGAGCAGGCTTGAGACACACTTTTTGTAGAATCCACAAGTGGATATTTGGACCTCTCTGAGGATTTCGTTGGAAACGGGATAACTGCACCGAACTAAACGGAAGCATTCTCAGAAACTGCTTTGTGATGATTGCATTCACCTCACAGAGTTGAACATTCCTATTGATAGAGCAGTTTGGAAACACTCTTGTTGTGGAATGTGCAAGTGGAGATTTGGAGCGCTTTGAGGCCTATGGTAGTAAAGGGAATAGCTTCATAGAAAAACTAGACAGATGCATTCTCAGGAACTTTTTGGTGATGTTTGTATTCAACTCCCAGAGTTGAACTTTCCTTTGGAAAGAGCAGCTATGAAACACTGTTTTTCTAGAATCTGCAAGTGGACGTTTGGAGGGCTTTGTGGTTTGTGGTGGAAAAGGAAATATCTTCACCTAAATACTAGATAGAAGCATTCTCAGAAGCTTCTCTGTGATGACTGCATTCAACTCACGGAGTTGAACACTCCTTTTGAGAGCGCAGTTTTGAAACTCTCTTTCTGTGGCATCTGCAAGGGGACATGTAGACCTCTTTGAAGATTTCGTTGGAAACGGAATCATCTTCACATAAAAACTATACAGAAGCAGTCTCAGAATCTTCGTTGTGATGTTTGCATTCAAATCCCAGAGTTGAACTTTCCTTTCAAAGTTCACGTTTGAAACACTCTTTTTGCAGGATCTACAAGTGGATATTTGGACCACTCTGTGTCCTTCGTACGAAACGGGTATATCTTCACATGACATCTAGACAGAAGCTTTCTCAGAAAATTCTTTGGGATGATTGAGTTGAGCAAACAGAGCTGAACACTCCTTGCGATGTAGCAGTTTAGAAACACACTTTCTGCAGAATCTGCAAGTGCAAATGTGGACCTCTCTGAGGAATTCTTTGGAAACGGGATAATTTCACCTGACTAAACAGAAGCATTCTCAGAACCTTCTTCGTGATGTCTGCATTCAACTCACAGTGTGGAACCTTTCTTTGATAGTTCAGTTTTGAAACACTCTTTTTGTAGAAACTGCAAGGGGATAATTGCACTTCTTTGAGGCCTACCGTAGTAAAGGAAATAACTTCCTATGAAAAGAAGACAGAAGCATTCTCAGAACCCTCTTCGTGATGTTTGCATTCAACTCACAGTGCTGAACCTTTCTTTGATAGTTCAGCTTTGAAACACTCTTTTTGTAGAAACTGCAAGTGGATATTTGGTCCTCTCTGAGGATTTCGTTGGAAACGGGATAAACCGCACAGAACTAAACAGAAGCATTCTCAGAACCTTCTTCGTGATGTTTGCATTCAACTCACAGTGTTGAACCTTTCTTTGATAGTTCAGGTTTGAAACGGTCTTTCTGTAGAAACTGCAAGTAGATATTTGGACCTCTCTGAGGATTTCGTTGGAAACGGGATAAACTGCACAGAACTAAAACAGAAGCATTCACAGAAAACTCTTGGTGACGACTGAGTTTAACTCACAGAGCTGAACATTCCTTTGGATGGAGCAGTTTCGAAACACACTATTTGTGGAATGTGCAAGTGGATATTTGGGCCTCTCTGAGGATTTCGTTGGAAACGGGATAAACCGCACAGAACTAAACAGAAGCATTCTCAGAAACTACTTTGTGATGATTGCATTCAAGTCACAGAGTTGAACATTCCCTTTGACAGAGCAGTTTGGAAACTCTCTTTGTGTAGAATCTGCAAGTGGAGATATGGACCGCTTTGAGGCCTATGGTAGTAAAGGAAATAGCTTCATATAAAAGCTAGACAGTAGCATTCTCAGAAACTTCTTTGTGATGCTTGCATTCAACTCACAGAGTTGAACTTTCCTTTCGAGAGAGAAGCTTTGAAACACTCTTTTTCCAGAATCTGCAAGTGGACATTTGGAGGGCTTTGAGGCCTGTGGTGGAAAAGGAATTATCTTCCCGTAAAAGCTAGATAGAAGCATTGTCAGAAACTTCTTTGTGATGACTGCATTCAACTCACAGAGTTGAAGGTTCCTTTTCAAACAGCAGTTTCCAATCACTCTTTCTGTGGAATCTGCAAGTGGATATTTCGACCTCTTTGAAGATTTCGTTGGAAACGGGAGAATCTTCACAGAAAAGCTAAACAGAAGCATTCTCAGAAACTTCTCTGTGATGTTTGTGTTCAACTCCCAGAGTTTCACGTTGCTTTTCATAGAGTAGTTCTGAAACATGCTTTTCGTAGTGTCTGCAAGTGGACATTTGGAGCGCTTTCAGGCCTGTGGTGGAAAACGAATTATGGTCACATAAAAACTGGAGAGAAGCCTTCTCAGAAACTTCTCTGTGATGATTGCATTCAACTCACAGAGTTGAACCCTCCTATGGATAGAGCAGTGTTGAAACTCTCTTTTTGTGGAATCTGCAAGTGGATATGTGGACCTCTCCGAAGATGTCTTTGGAAACGGGAATATCTTCACATAAAAACTAAACAGAAGCATTCTCAGAAACTTCTTGGTGATGTTTGCATTCAAATCCCAGAGTTGAACCTTCCTTTGATAGTTCAGGTTTGAAACACTCTTTCTGTAGGATCTGCAAGTGGCTATTTGGACCACTCTGTGGCCTTCGTTTGAAACGGGTATATCTTCGCATAAAATCTAGACAGAAGCATTCTCAGAAAATACTTTGTGATGATTGAGTTTAAATCACAGAGCTGACCATTCCTTTGGATGGAGCAGGTTTGAGACACACTTTTTGTAGAATCTACAAGTGGATATTTGGACCTCTCTGAGGATTTCGTTGGAAACGGGATAACTGCACCTAACTAAACGGAAGCATTCTCAGAAACTGCTTTGTGATGATTGCATTCACCTCACAGAGTTGAACATTCCTATTGATAGAGCAGTTTGGAAACACTCTTGTTGTGGAATGTGCAAGTGGAGATTTGGAGCGCTTTGAGGCCTATGGTAGTAAAGGGAATAGCTTCATAGAAAAACTAGACAGATGCATTCTCAGGAACTTTTTGGTGATGTTTGTATTCAACTCCCAGAGTTGAACTTTCCTTTGGAAAGAGCAGCTATGAAACACTGTTTTTCTAGAATCTGCAAGTGGACGTTTGGAGGGCTTTGTGGTTTGTGGTGGAAAAGGAAATATCTTCACCTAAATACTAGATAGAAGCATTCTCAGAAGCTTCTCTGTGATGACTGCATTCAACTCACGGAGTTGAACACTCCTTTTGAGAGCGCAGTTTTGAAACTCTCTTTCTGTGGCATCTGCAAGGGGACATGTAGACCTCTTTGAAGATTTCGTTGGAAACGGAATCATCTTCACATAAAAACTATACAGAAGCAGTCTCAGAATCTTCTTTGTGATGTTTGCATTCAAATCCCAGAGTTGAACTTTCCTTTCAAAGTTCACGTTTGAAACACTTTTTGCAGGATCTACAAGTGGATATTTGGACCACTCTGTGTCCTTCGTTCGAAACGGGTATATCTTCACATGACATCTAGACAGAAGCTTTCTCAGAAAATTGTTTGGGATGATTGATTTGAACTCACAGAGCTGAGCATTCCTTGCGATGTAGCAGTTTAGAAACACACTTTCTGCAGAATCTGCAAGTGCATATGTGGACCTCTCTGAGGAATTCGTTGGAAACGGGATAATTTCAGCTGACTAAACAGAAGCATTCTCAGAACCTTCTTCGTGATGTCTGCATTCAACTCACAGTGTGGAACCTTTCTTTGATAGTTCAGGTTTGAAACACTCTTTTTGTAGAAACTGCAAGGGGATAATTGCACTCTTTGAGGAGTACCGTAGTAAAGGAAATAACTTCCTATAAAAAGAAGACAGAAGCATTCTCAGAACCCTCTTCGTGATGTTTGCATTCAACTCACAGTGCTGAACCTTTCTTTGATAGTTCAGCTTTGAAACACTCTTTTTGTAGAAACTGCAAATGGATATTTGGTCCTCTCTGAGGATTTCGTTGGAAAAGGGATAAAACGCACAGAACTAAACAGAAGCATTCTCAGAACCTTCTTCGTGATGTTTGCATTCAACTCACAGTGTTGAACCTTTCTTTGATAGTTCAGGTTTGAAACGGTCTTTCTGTAGAAACTGCAAGTAGATATTTGGACCTCTCTGAGGATTTCGTTGGAAACGGGATAACCCGCACAGAACTAAAACAGAAGCATTCAGAAAAAACTCTTGGTGACGACTGAGTTTAACTCACAGAGCTGAACATTCCTTTGGATGGAGCAGTTTCGAAACACACTATTTGTAGAATGTGCAAGTGGATATTTGGGCCTCTCTGAGGATTTCGTTGGAAACGGGATAAACCGCACAGAACTAAACAGAAGCATTCTCAGAAACTACTTTGTGATGATTGCATTCAAGTCACAGAGTTGAACATTCCCTTTGACAGAGCAGTTTGGAAACTCTCTTTGCGTAGAATCTGCAAGTGGAGATATGGACCGCTTTGAGGCCTATGGTAGTAAAGGAAATAGCTTCATATAAAAGCTAGACAGCAGCATTCTCAGAAACTTCTTTGTGATGCTTGCATTCAACTCACAGAGTTGAACTTTCCTTTCGAGAGAGAAGCTTTGAAACACTCTTTTTCCAGAATCTGCAAGTGGACATTTGGAGGGCTTTGAGGCCTGTGGTGGAAAAGGAATTATCTTCCCGTAAAAGCTAGATAGAAGCATTGTCAGAAACTTCTTTGTGATGATTGCATTCAACTCACAGAGTTGAAGGTTCCTTTTCAAACAGCAGTTTCCAATCACTCTTTCTGTGGAATCTGCAAGTGGATATTTGGGCCTCTCTGAGGATTTCGTTGGAAACGGGATAAAACGCACAGAACTAAAACAGAAGCATTCTCAGAAACTTCTCTGTGATGTTTGTGTTCAACTCCCAGAGTTTCACGTTGCTTTTCATAGAGTAGTTCTGAAACATGCTTTTCGTAGTGTCTGCAAGTGGACATTTGGAGCGCTTTCAGGCCTGTGGTGGAAAACGAATTATGGTCACATAAAAACTGGAGAGAAGCCTTCTCAGAAACTTCTCTGTGATGATTGCATTCAACTCACAGAGTTGAACCCTCCTATGGATAGAGCAGTGTTGAAACTCTCTTTTTGTGGAATCTGCAAGCGGATATGTGGACCTCTCCGAAGATGTCTTTGGAAACGGGAATATCTTCACATAAAAACTAAACAGAAGCATTCTCAGAAACTTCTTGGTGATGTTTGCATTCAAATCCCAGAGTTGAACCTTCCTTTGATAGTTCAGGTTTGAAACACTCTTTCTGTAGGATCTGCAAGTGGCTATTTGGACCACTCTGTGGCCTTCGTTCGAAACGGGTATATCTTCGCATAAAATCTAGACAGAAGCATTCTCAGAAAATACTTTGTGATGATTGAGTTTAACTCACAGAGCTGAACATTCCTTTGGATGGAGCAGGTTTGAGACACACTTTTTGTAGAATCTACAAGTGGATATTTGGACCTCTCTGAGGATTTCGTTGGAAACGGGATAACTGCACCTAACTAAACGGAAGCATTCTCAGAAACTGCTTTGTGATGATTGCATTCACCTCACAGAGTTGAACATTCCTATTGATAGAGCAGTTTGGAAACACTCTTGTTGTGGAATGTGCAAGTGGAGATTTGGAGCGCTTTGAGGCCTATGGTAGTAAAGGGAATAGCTTCATAGAAAAACTAGACAGATGCATTCTCAGGAACTTTTTGGTGATGTTTGTATTCAACTCCCAGAGTTGAACTTTCCTTTGGAAAGAGCAGCTATGAAACACTGTTTTTCTAGAATCTGCAAGTGGACGTTTGGAGGGCTTTGTGGTTTGTGGTGGAAAAGGAAATATCTTCACCTAAATACTAGATAGAAGCATTCTCAGAAGCTTCTCTGTGATGACTGCATTCAACTCACGGAGTTGAACACTCCTTTTGAGAGCGCAGTTTTGAAACTCTCTTTCTGTGGCATCCGCAAGGGGACATGTAGACCTCTTTGAAGATTTCGTTGGAAACGGAATCATCTTCACATAAAAACTATACAGAAGCAGTCTCAGAATCTTCTTTGTGATGTTTGCATTCAAATCCCAGAGTTGAACTTGCCTTTCAAAGTTCACGTTTGAAACACTCTTTTTGCAGGATCTACAAGTGGATATTTGGACCACTCTGTGTCCTTCGTTCGAAACGGGTATATCTTCACATGACATCTAGACAGAAGCTTTCTCAGAAAATACTTTGGGATGATTGAGTTGAGCAAACAGAGCTGAACACTCCTTGCGATGTAGCAGTTTAGAAACACACTTTCTGCAGAATCTGCAAGTGCATATGTGGACCTCTCTGAGGAATTCGTTGGAAACCGGATAATTTCAGCTGACTAAACAGAAGCATTCTCAGAACCTTCTTCGTGATGTCTGCATTCAACTCACAGTGTGGAACCTTTCTTTGATAGTTCAGGTTTGAAACACTCTTTTTGTAGAAACTGCAAGGGGATCATTGCACTTTTTTGAGGCCTACCGTAGTAAAGGAGATAACTTCCTATAAAAAGAAGACAGAAGCATTCTCAGAACCCTCTTCGTGATGTTTGCATTCAACTCACGGTGCTGAACTTTTCTTTGATAGTTCAGCTTTGAAACACTCTTTTTGTAGAAACTGCAAGTGGATATTTGGTCCTCTCTGAGGATTTCGTTTGAAACGGGATAAACCGCACAGAACTAAACAGAAGCATTCTCAGAACCTTCTTCGTGATGTTTGCATTCAACTCACAGTGTTGAACCTTTCTTTGATAGTTCAGGTTTGAAACGGTCTTTCTGTAGAAACTGCAAGTAGATATTTTGACCTCTCTGAGGATTTCGTTGGAAACGGGATAAACCACACAGAACTAAAACAGAAGCATTCACAGAAAACTCTTGGTGACGACTGAGTTTAACTCACAGAGCTGAACATTCCTTTGGATGGAGCAGTTTCGAAACACACTATTTGTAGAATGTGCAAGTGGATATGTGGGCCTCTCTGAGGATTTCGTTGGAAACGGGATAAACCGCACAGAACTAAACAGAAGCATTCTCAGAAACTACTTTGTGATGATTGCATTCAAGTCACAGAGTTGAACATTCCCTTTGACAGAGCAGTTTGGAAACTCTCTTTGTGTAGAATCTGCAAGTGGAGATATGGACCGCTTTGAGGCCTATGGTAGTAAAGGAAATAGCTTCATATAAAAGCTAGACAGTAGCATTCTCAGAAACTTCTTTGTGATGCTTGCATTCAACTCACAGAGTTGAACTTTCCTTTCGAGAGAGAAGCTTTGAAACACTCTTTTTCCAGAATGTGCAAGTGGACATTTGGGGAGCTTTGAGGCCTGTGGTGGAAAAGGAATTATCTTCCCGTAAAAGCTAGATAGAAGCATTGTCAGAAACTTCTTTGTGATGATTGCATTCAAGTCACAGAGTTGAAGGTTCCTTTTCAAACAGCAGTTTCCAAACACTCTTTCTGTGGAATCTGCAAGTGGATATTTGGACCTCTTTGAAGATTTCGTTGGAAACGGGAGAATCTTCACAGAAAAGCTAAACAGAAGCATTCTCAGAAACTTCTCTGTGATGTTTGTGTTCAACTCCCAGAGTTTCACATTGCTTTTCATAGAGTAGTTCTGAAACATGCTTTTCGTAGTGTCTACAAGTGGACATTTGGAGCGCTTTCAGGCCTGTGGTGGAAAACGAATTATGGTCACATAAAAACTGGAGAGAAGCCTTCTCAGAAACTTCTCTGTGATGATTGCATTCAACTCACAGAGTTGAACCCTCCTATGGATAGAGCAGTGTTGAAACTCTCTTTTTGTGGAATCTGCAAGTGGATATGTGGACCTCTCCGAAGATGTCTTTGGAAACGGGAATATCTTCACATAAAAACTTAACAGAAGCATTCTCAGAAACTTCTTGGTGATGTTTGCATTCAAATCCCAGAGTTGAACCTTCCTTTGATAGTTCAGGTTTGAAACACTCTTTCTGTAGGATCTGCAAGTGGCTATTTGGACCACTCTGTGGCCTTCGTTCGAAACGGGTATATCTTCGCATAAAATCTAGACAGAAGCATTCTCAGAAAATACTTTGTGATGATTGAGTTTAAATCACAGAGCTGACCATTCCTTTGGATGGAGCAGGTTTGAGACACACTTTTTGTAGAATCTACAAGTGGATATTTGGACCTCTCTGAGGATTTCGTTGGAAACGGGATAACTGCACCTAACTAAACGGAAGCATTCTCAGTAAACTGCTTTGTGATGATTGCATTCACCTCACAGAGTTGAACATTCCTATTGATAGAGCAGTTTGGAAACACTCTTCTTGTGGAATGTGCAAGTGGAGATTTGGAGCGCTTTGAGGCCTATGGTAGTAAAGGGAATAGCTTCATAGAAAAACTAGACAGATGCATTCTCAGGAACTTTTTGGTGATGTTTGTATTCAACTCCCAGAGTTGAACTTTCCTTTGGAAAGAGCAGCTATGAAACACTCTTTTTCTAGAATCTGCAAGTGGACGTTTGGAGGGCTTTGTGGTTTGTGGTGGAAAAGGAAATATCTTCACCTAAATACTAGATAGAAGCATTCTCAGAAGCTTCTCTGTGATGACTGCATTCAACTCACGGAGTTGAACACTCCTTTTGAGAGCGCAGTTTTGAAACTCTCTTTCTGTGGCATCTGCAAGGGGACATGTAGACCTCTCTGAAGATTTCGTTGGAAACGGAATCATCTTCACATAAAAACTATACAGAAACAGTCTCAGAATCTTCTTTGTGATGTTTGCATTCAAATCCCAGAGTTGAACTTTCCTTTCAAAGTTCACGTTTGAAACACTCTTTTTGCAGGATCTACAAGTGGATATTTGGACCACTCTGTGTCCTTCGTTCAAAACGGGTATATCTTCACATGACATCTAGACAGAAGCTTTCTCAGAAAATTCTTTGGGATGATTGAGTGGAACTCACAGAGCTGAACATTCCTTGCGATGTAGCAGTTTAGAAACACACTTTCTGCAGAATCTGCAAGTGCATATTTGGACCTCTCTGAGGAATTCGTTGGAAACGGGATAATTTCAGCTGACTAAACAGAAGCATTCTCAGAACCTTCTTCGTGATGTCTGCATTCAACTCACAGTGTGGAACCTTTCTTTGATAGTTCAGGTTTGAAACACTCTTTTTGTAGAAACTGCAAGGGGATAATTGCACTTCTTTGAGGCCTACCGTAGTAAAGGAAATAACTTCCTATAGAAAGAAGACAGAAGCATTCTCAGAACCCTCTTCGTGATGTTTGCATTCAACTCACAGTGCTGAACCTTTCTTTGATAGTTCAGCTTTGAAACACTCTTCTTGTAGAAACTGCAAGTGGATATTTGGTCCTCTCTGAGGATTTCGTTGGAAACGGGATAAACCGCACAGAACTAAACAGAAGAATTCTCAGAGCCCTCTTCGTGATGTTTGCATTCAACTCACAGTGCTGAACCTTTCTTTGATAGTGCAGCTTTGAAACACTCTTTTTGTAGAAACTGCAAGTGGATGTTTGGTCCTCTCTGAGGATTTCGTTGGAAACGGGATAAACCGCACAGAACTAAAACAGAAGCATTGTCAGAAACTTCTTTGTGATGATTGCATTCAACTCACAGAGTTGAAGGTTCCTTTTCAAACAGCAGTTTCCAATCACTCTTTCTGTGGAATCTGCAAGTGGATATTTGGGCCTCTCTGAGGATTTCGTTGGAAACGGGATAAAACGCACAGAACTAAAACAGAAGCATTCTCAGAAACTTCTCTGTGATGTTTGTGTTCAACTCCCAGAGTTTCACATTGCTTTTCATAGAGTAGTTCTGAAACATGCTTTTCGTAGTGTCTACAAGTGGACATTTGGAGCGCTTTCAGGCCTGTGGTGGAAAACGAATTATGGTCACATAAAAACTGGAGAGAAGCCTTCTCAGAAACTTCTCTGTGATGATTGCATTCAACTCACAGAGTTGAACCCTCCTATGGATAGAGCAGTGTTGAAACTCTCTTTTTGTGGAATCTGCAAGTGGATATGTGGACCTCTCCGAAGATGTCTTTGGAAACGGGAATATCTTCACATAAAAACTAAACAGAAGCATTCTCAGAAACTTCTTGGTGATGTTTGCTTTCAAATCCCAGAGTTGAACCTTCCTTTGATAGTTTAGGTTTGAAACACTCTTTTTGTAGGATCTGCAAGTGGATATTTGGACCACACTGTGGCCTTCGTTCGAAACGGGTACATCTTCGCATAAAATCTAGACAGAAGCATTCTCAGAAAATACTTTGTGATGATTGAGTTGAACTCACAGAGCTGAACATTCCTTTGGATGGAGCAGGTTTGAGACACACTTTTTGTAGAATCTACAAGTGGATATTTGGACCTCTCTGAGGATTTCGTTGGAAACGGGATAACTGCACCTAACTAAACGGAAGCATTCTCAGAAACTGCTTTGTGATGATTGCATTCACCTCACAGAGTTGAACATTCCTATTGATAGAGCAGTTTGGAAACACTCTTGTTGTGGAATGTGCAAGTGGAGATTTGGAGCGCTTTGAGGCCTGTGGTAGTAAAGGGAATAGCTTCATAGAAAAACTAGACAGATGCATTCTCAGGAACCTTTTGGTGATGTTTGTATTCAACTCCCAGAGTTGAACTTTCCTTTGGAAAGAGCAGCTATGAAACACTCTTTTTCTAGAATCTGCAAGTGGACGTTTGGAGGGCTTTGTGGTTTGTGGTGGAAAAGGAAATATCTTCACCTAAATACTAGATAGAAGCATTCTCAGAAGCTTCTCTGTGATGACTGCATTCAACTCACGGAGTTGAGCACTCCTTTTGAGAGCACAGTTTTGAAACTCTCTTTCTGTGGCATCTGCAAGGGGACATGTCGACCTCTTTGAAGATTTCGTTGGAAACGGAATCATCTTCACATCAAAACTATACAGAAGCAGTCTCAGAATCTTCTTTGTGATGTTTGCATTCAAATCCCAGAGTTGAACTTTCCTTTCAAAGTTCACGTTTGAAACACTCTTTTTGCAGGATCTACAAGTGGATATTTGGACCACTCTGTGTCCTTCGTTCGAAACGGGTATATCTTCACATGACATCTAGACAGAAGCTTTCTCAGAAAATTCTTTGGGATGATTGAGTTGAACTCACAGAGCTGAGCATTCCTTGCGATGTAGCAGTTTAGAAACACACTTTCTGCAGAATCTGCAAGTGCATATTTGGACCTCTGTGAGGAATTCGTTGGAAACGGGATAATTTCAGCTGACTAAACAGAAGCATTCTCAGAACCTTCTTCGTGATGTCTGCATTCAACTCACAGTGTGGAACCTTTCTTTGATAGTTCAGGTTTGAAACACTCTTTTTGTAGAAACTGCAAGGGGATAATTGCACTTCTTTGAGGCCTACCGTAGTAAAGGAAATAACTTCCTATAGAAAGAAGACAGAAGCATTCTCAGAACCCTCTTCGTGATGTTTGCATTCAACTCACAGTGCTGAACCTTTCTTTGATAGTTCAGCTTTGAAACACTCTTTTTGTAGAAACTGCAAGTGGATATTTGGTCCTCTCTGAGGATTTCGTTGGAAACGGGATAAACCGCACAGAACTAAACAGAAGCATTCTCAGAACCTTCTTCGTGATGTTTGCATTCAACTCACAGTGTTGAACCTTTCTTTGATAGTTCAGGTTTGAAACGGTCTTTCTGTAGAAACTGCAAGTAGATATTTGGACCTCTCTGAGGATTTCGTTGGAAACGGGATAAACCGCACAGAACTAAAACAGAAGCATTCACAGAAAACTCTTGGTGACGACTGAGTTTAACTCACAGAGCTGAACATTCCTTTGGATGGAGCAGTTTCGAAACACACTATTTGTAGAATGTGCAAGTGGATATTTAGGCCTCTCTGAGGATTTCGTTGGAAACGGGATAAACCGCACAGAACTAAACAGAAGCATTCTCAGAAACTACTTTGTGATGATTGCATTCAAGTCACAGAGTTGAACATTCCCTTTGACAGAGCAGTTTGGAAACTCTCTTTGTGTAGAATCTGCAAGTGGAGATATGGACCGCTTTGAGGCCTATGGTAGTAAAGGAAATAGCTTCATATAAAAGCTAGACAGTAGCATTCTCAGAAACTTCTTTGTGATGCTTGCATTCAACTCACAGAGTTGAACTTTCCTTTCGAGAGAGAAGCTTTGAAACACTCTTTTTCCAGAATCTGCAAGTGGACATTTGGAGGGCTTTGAGGCCTGTGGTGGAAAAGGAATTATCTTCCCGTAAAAGCTGGATAGAAGCATTGTCAGAAACTTCTTTGTGATGATTGCATTCAAGTCACAGAGTTGAAGGTTCCTTTTCAAAGAGCAGTTTCCAATCACTCTTTCTGTGGAATCTGCAAGTGGATATTTGGACCTCTTTGAAGATTTCGTTGGAAACGGGAGAATCTTCACAGAAAAGCTAAACAGAAGCATTCTCAGAAACTTCTCTGTGATGTTTGTGTTCAACTCCCAGAGTTTCACGTTGCTTTTCATAGAGTAGTTCTGAAACATGCTTTTCGTAGTGTCTGCAAGTGGACATTTGGAGCGCTTTCAGGCCTGTGGTGGAAAACGAATTATGGTCACATAAAAACTGGAGAGAAGCCTTCTCAGAAACTTCTCTGTGATGATTGCATTCAACTCACAGAGTTGAACCCTCCTATGGATAGAGCAGTGTTGAAACTCTCTTTTTGTGGAATCTGCAAGTGGATATGTGGACCTCTCCGAAGATGTCTTTGGAAACGGGAATATCTTCACATAAAAACTAAACAGAAGCATTCTCAGAAACTTCTTGGTGATGTTTGCATTCAAATCCCAGAGTTGAACCTTCCTGTGATAGTTCAGGTTTGAAACACTCTTTTTGTAGGATCTGCAAGTGGCTATTTGGACCACTCTGTGGCCTTCGTTCGAAACGGGTATATCTTCGCATAAAATCTAGACAGAAGCATTCTCAGAAAATACTTTGTGATGATTGAGTTTAACTCACAGAGCTGAACATTCCTTTGGATGGAGCAGGTTTGAGACACACCTTTTGTAGAATCTACAAGTGGATATTTGGACCTCTCTGAGGATTTCGTTGGAAACGGGATAACTGCACCTAACTAAACGGAAAGCATTCTCAGAAACTGCTTTGT
Organism: Homo sapiens; assembly: GCF_000001405.40. Classification (NCBI taxonomy): domain Eukaryota; kingdom Metazoa; phylum Chordata; class Mammalia; order Primates; family Hominidae; genus Homo; species Homo sapiens. The sequence goes on from NC_000017.11 coordinate 26,032,055, forward strand.
GATGATTGCATTCACCTCACAGTAGTTGAACATTCCTATTGATAGAGCAGTTTGGAAACACTCTTGTTGTGGAATGTGCAAGTGGAGATTTGGAGCGCTTTGAGGCCTATGGTAGTAAAGGGAATAGCTTCATAGAAAAACTAGACAGATGCATTCTCAGGAACTTTTTGGTGATGTTTGTATTCAACTCCCAGAGTTGAACTTTCCTTTGGAAAGAGCAGCTATGAAACACTCTTTTTCTAGAATCTGCAAGTGGACGTTTGGAGGGCTTTGTGGTTTGTGGTGGAAAAGGAAATATCTTCACCTAAATACTAGATAGAAGCATTCTCAGAAGCTTCTCTGTGATGACTGCATTCAACTCACGGAGTTCAACACTCCTTTTGAGAGCGCAGTTTTGAAACTCTCTTTCTGTGGCATCTGCAAGGGGACATGTAGACCTCTTTGAAGATTTCGTTGGAAACGGAATCATCTTCACATAAAAACTATACAGAAGCAGTCTCAGAATCTTCTTTGTGATGTTTGCATTCAAATCCCAGAGTTGAACTTTCCTTTCAAAGTTCACGTTTGAAACACTCTTTTTGCAGGATCTACAAGTGGATATTTGGACCACTCTGTGTCCTTCGTTCGAAACGGGTATATCTTCACATGACATCTAGACAGAAGCTTTCTCAGAAAATTCTTTGGGATGATTGAGTTGAACTCACAGAGCTGAGCATTCCTTGCGATGTAGCAGTTTAGAAACACACTTTCTGCAGAATCTGCAAGTGCATATTTGGACCTCTGTGAGGAATTCGTTGGAAACGGGATAATTTCAGCTGACTAAACAGAAGTATTCTCAGAACCTTCTTCGTGATGTTTGCATTCAACTCACAGTGTTGAACCTTTCTTTGATAGTTCAGGTTTGAAACGGTCTTTCTGTAGAAAATGCAAGTAGATATTTGGACCTCTCTGAGGATTTCGTTGGAAACGGGTTAAACCGCACAGAACTAAAACAGAAGCATTCTCAGAGTCCTCTTCGTGATGTTTGCATTCAACTCACAGTGCTGAACCTTTTTTTGATAGTGCAGCTTTGAAACACTCTTTTTGTAGAAACTGCAAGTGGATATTTGGTCCTCTCTGAGGATTTCGTTGGAAACGGGATAAACCGCACAGAACTAAAACAGAAGCATTCTCAGAACCTTCTTCGTGATGTTTGCATTCAACTCACAGTGTTGAACCTTTCTTTGATAGTTCAGGTTTGAAACGGTCTTTCTGTAGAAACTGCAAGTAGATATTTGGACCTCTCTGAGGATTTCGTTGGAAACGGGATAACCCGCACAGAACTAAAACAGAAGCATTCACAGAAAACACTTGGTGACGACTGAGTTTAACTCACAGAGCTGAACATCACTTTGGATGGAGCAGTTTCGAAACACACTATTCGTAGAATGTGCAAGTGGATATTTGGGCCTCTCTGAGGATTTCGTTGGAAACGGGATAAACCGCACAGAACTAAAACAGAAGCATTCTCAGAAACTACTTTGTGATGATTGCATTCAAGTCACAGAGTTGAACATTCCCGTTGACAGAGCAGTTTGGAAACTCTCTTTGTGTAGAATCTGCAAAGTGGAGATATGGACCGCTTTGAGGACTATGGTAGTAAAGGAAATAGCTTCATATAAAAGCTAGACAGTAGCATTCTCAGAAACTTCTTTGTGATGCTTGCATTCAACTCACAGAGTTGAACTTTCCTTTCGAGAGAGAAGCTTTGAAACACTCTTTTTCCAGAATCTGCAAGTGGACATTTGGAGGGCTTTGAGGCCTGTGGTGGAAAAGGAATTATCTTCCCGTAAAAGCTAGATAGAAGCATTGTCAGAAACTTCTTTGTGATGATTGCATTCAACTCACAGAGTTGAAGGTTCCTTTTCAAACAGCAGTTTCCAATCACTCTTTCTGTGGAATCTGCAAGTGGATATTTGGGCCTCTCTGAGGATTTCGTTGGAAACGGGATAAAACGCACAGAACTAAAACAGAAGCATTCTCAGAAACTTCTCTGTGATGTTTGTGTTCAACTCCCAGAGTTTCACATTGCTTCTCATAGAGTAGTTCTGAAACATGCTTTTCGTAGTGTCTGCAAGTGGACATTTGGAGCGCTTTCAGGCCTGTGGTGGAAAACGAATTATGGTCACATGAAAACTGGAGAGAAGCCTTCTCAGAAACTTCTCTGTGATGATTGCATTCAACTCACAGAGTTGAACCCTCCTATGGATAGAGCAGTGTTGAAACTCTCTTTTTGTGGAATCTGCAAGCGGATATATGGACCTCTCCGAAGATGTCTTTGGAAACGGGAATATCTTCACATAAAAACTAAACAGAAGCATTCTCAGAAACTTCTTGGTGATGTTTGCATTCAAATCCCAGAGTTGAACCTTCCTTTGATAGTTCAGGTTTGAAACACTCTTTCTGTAGGATCTGCAAGTGGCTATTTGGACCACTCTGTGGCCTTCGTTCGAAACGGGTATATCTTCGCATAAAATCTAGACAGAAGCATTCTCAGAAAATACTTTGTGATGATTGAGTTTAAATCACAGAGCTGAACATTCCTTTGGATGGAGCAGGTTTGAGACACACTTTTTGTAGAATCTACAAGTGGATATTTGGACCTCTCTGAGGATTTCGTTGGAAACGGGATAACTGCACCTAACTAAACGGAAAGCATTCTCAGAAACTGCTTTGTGATGATTGCATTCACCTCACAGTAGTTGAACATTCCTATTGATAGAGCAGTTTGGAAACACTCTTGTTGTGGAATGTGCAAGTGGAGATTTGGAGCGCTTTGAGGCCTATGGTAGTAAAGGGAATAGCTTCATAGAAAAACTAGACAGATGCATTCTCAGGAACTTTTTGGTGATGTTTGTATTCAACTCCCAGAGTTGAACTTTCCTTTGGAAAGAGCAGCTATGAAACACTCTTTTTCTAGAATCTGCAAGTGGACGTTTGGAGGGCTTTGTGGTTTGTGGTGGAAAAGGAAATATCTTCACCTAAATACTAGATAGAAGCATTCTCAGAAGCTTCTCTGTGATGACTGCATTCAACTCACGGGAGTTGAACACTCCTTTTGAGAGCACAGTTTTGAAACTCTCTTTCTGTGGCATCTGCAAGGGGACATGTAGACCTCTTTGAAGATTTCGTTGGAAACGGAATCATCTTCACATAAAATCTATACAGAAGCAGTCTCAGAATCTTCTTTGTGATGTTTGCATTCAAATCCCAGAGTTGAACTTTCCTTTCAAAGTTCACGTTTGAAACACTCTTTTTGCAGGATCTACAAGTGGATATTTGGACCACTCTGTGTCCTTCGTTCGAAACGGGTATATCTTCACATGACATCTAGACAGAAGCTTTCTCAGAAAATTCTTTGGGATGATTGAGTGGAACTCACAGAGCTGAACATTCCTTGTGATGTAGCAGTTTAGAAACACACTTTCTGCAGAATCTGCAAGTGCATATTTGGACCTCTCTGAGGAATTCGTTGGAAACGGGATAATTTCAGCTGACTAAACAGAAGCATTCTCAGAACCTTCTTCGTGATGTCTGCATTCAACTCACAGTGTGGAACCTTTCTTTGATAGTTCAGGTTTGAAACACTCTTTTTGTAGAAACTGCAAGGGGATAATTGCACTTCTTTGAGGCCTACCGTAGTAAAGGAAATAACTTCCTATAGAAAGGAGACAGAAGCATTCTCAGAACCCTCTTCGTGATGTTTGCATTCAACTCACAGTGCTGAACCTTTCTTTGATAGTTCAGCTTTGAAACACTCTTCTTGTAGAAACTGCAAGTGGATATTTGGTCCTTTCTGAGGATTTCGTTGGAAACGGGATAAACCGCACAGAACTAAACAGAAGCATTCTCAGAACCTTCTTCGTGATGTTTGCATTCAACTCACAGTGTTGAACCTTTCTTTGATAGTTCAGGTTTGAAACGGTCTTTCTGTAGAAACTGCAAGTAGATATTTGGACCTCTCTGAGGATTTCATTGGAAACGGGATAAACCGCACAGAATTAAAACAGAAGCATTCACAGAAAACTCTTGGTGACGACTGAGTTTAACTCACAGAGCTGAACATTCCTTTGGATGGAGCAGTTTCAAAACACACTATTTGTAGAATCTGCAAGTGGATATGTGGGCCTCTCTGAGGATTTCGTTGGAAACGGGATAAACCGCACAGAACTAAAACAGAAGCATTCTCAGAAACTACTTTGTGATGATTGCATTCAAGTCACAGAGTTGAACATTCCCTTTGACAGAGCAGTTTGGAAACTCTCTTTGTGTAGAATCTGCAAGTGGAGATATGGACCGCTTTGAGGCCTATGGTAGTAAAGGAAATAGCTTCATATAAAAGCTAGACAGTAGCATTCTCAGAAACTTCTTTGTGATGCTTGCATTCAACTCACAGAGTTGAACTTTCCTTTCGAGAGAGAAGCTTTGAAACAGTCTTTTTCCAGAATCTGCAAGTGGACATTTGGAGGGCTTTGAGGCCTGTGGTGGAAAAGGAATTATCTTCCCGTAAAAGCCTAGATAGAAGCCTTCTCAGAAACTTCTCTGTGATGATTGCATTCAACTCACAGAGTTGAAGGTTCCTTTTCAAAGAGCAGTTTCCAATCACTCTTTCTGTGGAGTCTGCAAGTGGATATTTGGACCTATTTTGAAGATTTCGTTGGAAACGGGAGAATCTTCACAGGAAAGCTAAACAGAAGCATTCTCAGAAACTTCTTGGTGATGTTTGCATTCAAATCCCAGAGTAGAACCTTCCTTTGATAGTTCAGGTTTGAAACACTCTTTTTGTAGGATCTGCAAGTGGATATTTGGACCACTCTGTGGCCTTCGTTCGAAACGGGTATATCTTCGCATAAAATCTAGACAGAAGCATTCTCAGAAAATACTTTGTGATGATTGAGTTGAACTCACAGAGCTGAACATTCCTTTGGATGGAGCAGGTTTGAGACACACTTTTTGTAGAATCTACAAGTGGATATTTGGACCTCTCTGAGGATTTCGTTGGAAACGGGATAACTGCACCTAACTAAACGGAAGCATTCTCAGAAACTGCTTTGTGATGATTGCATTCACCTCACAGAGTTGAACATTCCTATTGATAGAGCAGTTTGGAAACACTCTTGTTGTGGAATGTGCAAGTGGAGATTTGGAGCGCTTTGAGGTCTATGGTAGTAAAGGGAATAGCTTCATAGAAAAACTAGACAGATGCATTCTCAGGAACTTTTTGGTGATGTTTGTATTCAACTCCCAGAGTTGAACTTTCCTTTGGAAAGAGCAGCTATGAAACACTCTTTTTCTAGAATCTGCAAGTGGACGTTTGGAGGGCTTTGTGGTTTGTGGTGGAAAAGGAAATATATTCACCTAAATACTAGATAGAAGCATTCTCAGAAGCTTCTCTGTGATGACTGCATTCAACTCACGGAGTTGAACACTCCTTTTGAGAGCGCAGTTTTGAAACTCTCTTTCTGTGGCATCTGCAAGGGGACATGTAGACCTCTTTGAAGATTTCGTTGGAAACGGAATCATCTTCACTTAAAAACTATACAGAAGCAGTCTCAGAATCTTCTTTGTGATGTTTGCATTCAAATCCCAGAGTTGAACTTTCCTTTCAAAGTTCACGTTTGAAACACTCTTTTTGCAGGATCTACAAGTGGATATTTGGACCACTACTGTGTCCTTCGTTCGAAACGGGTATATCTTCACATGACATCTAGACAGAAGCTTTCTCAGAAAATTCTTTGGGATGATTGAGTGGAACTCACAGAGCTGAACATTCCTTGCGATGTAGCAGTTTAGAAACACACTTTCTGCAGAATCTGCAAGTGCATATTTGGACCTCTCTGAGGAATTCGTTGGAAACGGGATAATTTCAGCTGACTAAACAGAAGCATTCTCAGAACCTTCTTCGTGATGTCTGCATTCAACTCACAGTGTGGAACCTTTCTTTGATAGTTCAGGTTTGAAACACTCTTTTTGTAGAAACTGCAAGGGGATAATTGCACTTCTTTGAGGCCTACCGTAGTAAAGGAAATAACTTCCTATAGAAAGAAGACAGAAGAATTCTCAGAGCCCTCTTCGTGATGTTTGCATTCAACTCACAGTGCTGAACCTTTCTTTGATAGTGCAGCTTTGAAACACTCTTTTTGTAGAAACTGCAAGTGGATGTTTGGTCCTCTCTGAGGATTTCGTTGGAAACGGGATAAACCGCACAGAACTAAAACAGAAGCATTCTCAGAACCTTCTTCGTGATGTTTGCATTCAACTCACAGTGTTGAACCTTTCTTTGATAGTTCAGGTTTGAAACGGTCTTTCTGTAGAAACTGCAAGTAGATATTTGGACCGCTCTGAGGATTTCGTTGGAAACGGGATAACCCGCACAGAACTAAAACAGAAGCATTCACAGGAAAACTCTTGGTGACGACTGAGTTTAACTCACAGAGCTGAACATTCCTTTGGATGGAGCAGTTTCGAAACACACTATTTGTAGAATGTGCAAGTGGATATTTGGGCCTCTCTGAGGATTTCGTTGGAAACGGGATAAACCGCACAGAACTAAACAGAAGCATTCTCAGAAACTACTTTGTGATGATTGCATTCAAGTCACAGAGTTGAATATTCCCTTTGACAGAGCACTTTGGAAACTCTCGCTGTGTAGAATCTGCAAGTGGAGATATGGACCGCTTTGAGGCCTATGGTAGTAAAGGAAATAGCTTCATAGAAAAACTAGACAGTAGCATTCTCAGAAACTCCTTTGTGATGTTTGCATTCAACTCACAGAGTTGAACATTCCTTTTGAGAGACAAGCTTTGAAACACTCTTTCTCTAGAATCTGCAAGTGGATATTTGGAGGGCTTTGAGGCCTGTGGTGGAAAGGGAATTCTCTTCCAGTAAAAACTAGATAGAAGCATTGTCAGGAACTTGTTTGTGATGGTTGCATTCAACTCACAGAGTTGAAGGTTCCTTTTCAAACAGCAGTTTCCAAGCACGCCTTCTGTGGAATCTGCAAGTGGATATTTGGACCTCTTTGAAGATATCGTTGGAAACGGGATAATCTTCACAGAAAAGCTAAACAGAAGCATTCTCAGAAACTTCTCTGTGATGTTTGTGTTCAACTCCCAGAGTTTCACATTGCTTTTCATAGAGTAGTTCTGAAACATGCTTTTCGTAGTGTCTGCAAGTGGACATTTGGAGCGCTTTCAGGCCTGTGGTGGAAAACCGAATTATGGTCACATAAAAACTGGAGAGAAGCCTTCTCAGAAACTTCTCTGTGATGATTGCATTCAACTCACAGAGTTGAACCCTCCTATGGATAGAGCAGTGTTGAAACTCTCTTTTTGTGGAATCTGCAAGTGGATATGTGGACCTCTCCGAAGATGTCTTTGGAAACGGGAATATCTTCACATAAAAACTAAACAGAAGCATTCTCAGAAACTTCCTGGTGATGTTTGCATTCAAATCCCAGAGTTGAACCTTCCTTTGATAGTTCAGGTTTGAAACACTCTTTTTGTAGGATCTGCAAGTGGATATTTGGACCACTCTGTGGCCTTCGTTCGAAACGGGTACATCTTCGCATAAAATCTAGACAGAAGCATTCTCAGAAAATACTTTGTGATGATTGAGTTGAACTCACAGAGCTGAACATTCCTTTGGATGGAGCAGGTTTGAGACACACTTTTTGTAGAATCTACAAGTGGATATTTGGACCTCTCTGAGGATTTCCTTGGAAACGGGATAACTGCACCTAACTAAACGGAAGCATTCTCAGAAACTGCTTTGTGATGATTGCATTCACCTCACAGAGTTGAACATTCCTATTGATAGAGCAGTTTGGAAACACTCTTGTTGTGGAATGTGCAAGTGGAGATTTGGAGCGCTTTGAGGCCTGTGGTAGTAAAGGGAATAGCTTCATAGAAAAACTAGACAGATGCATTCTCAGGAACTTTTTGGTGATGTTTGTATTCAACTCCCAGAGTTGAACTTTCCTTTGGAAAGAGCAGCTATGAAACACTCTTTTTCTAGAATCTGCAAGTGGACGTTTGGAGGGCTTTGTGGTTTGTGGTGGAAAAGGAAATATCTTCACCTAAATACTAGACAGAAGCATTCTCAGAAGCTTCTCTGTGATGACTGCATTCAACTCACGGAGTTGAACACTCCTTTTGAGAGCGCAGTTTTGAAACTCTCTTTCTGTGGCATCTGCAAGGGGACATGTAGACCTCTTTGAAGATTTCGTTGGAAACGGAATCATCTTCACATAAAAACTATACAGAAGCAGTCTCAGAATCTTCTTTGTGATGTTTGCATTCAAATCCCAGAGTTGAACTTTCCTTTCAAAGTTCACGTTTGAAACACTCTTTTTGCAGGATCTACAAGTGGATATTTGGACCACTCTGCGTCCTTCGTTCGAAACGGGTATATCTTCACATGACATCTAGACAGAAGCTTTCTCAGAAAATTCTTTGGGATGATTGAGTGGAACTCACAGAGCTGAACATTCCTTGCGATGTAGCAGTTTAGAAACACACTTTCTGCAGAATCTGCAAGTGCATATTTGGACCTCTGTGAGGAATTCGTTGGAAACGGGATAATTTCAGCTGACTAAACAGAAGCATTCTCAGAACCTTCTTCGTGATGTCTGCATTCAACTCACAGTGTGGAACCTTTCTTTGATAGTTCAGGTTTGAAACACTCTTTTTGTAGAAACTGCAAGGGGATAATTGCACTTCTTTGAGGCCTACCGTAGTAAAGGAAATAACTTCCTATAGAAAGAAGACAGAAGCATTCTCAGAACCCTCTTCGTGATGTTTGCATTCAACTCACAGTGCTGAACCTTTCTTTGATAGTTCAGCTTTGAAACACTCTTCTTGTAGAAACTGCAAGTGGATATTTGGTCCTCTCTGAGGATTTCGTTGGAAACGGGATAAACCGCACAGAACTAAACAGAAGCATTCTCAGAGCCCTCTTCGTGATGTTTGCATTCAACTCACAGTGCTGAACCTTTCTTTGATAGTGCAGCTTTGAAACACTCTTTTTGTAGAAACTGCAAGTGGATATTTGGTCCTCTCTGAGGATTTCGTTGGAAACGGGATAAACCGCACAGAACTAAAACAGAAGAATTCTCAGAACCCTCTTCGTGATGTTTGCATTCAACACACAGTGCTGAACCTTTCTTTGATAGTTCAGCTTTGAAACACTCTTTTTGTAGAAAATGCAAGTGGATATTTGGTCCTCTCTGAGGATTTCGTTGGAAACGTGATAAACCGCACAGAACTAAACAGAAGCATTCACAGAAAACTCTTGGTGACGACTGAGTTTAACTCACAGAGCTGAACATTCCTTTGGATGGAGCAGTTTCGAAACACACTATTTGTAGAATCTGCAAGTGGATATTTGGGCCTCTCTGAGGATTTCGTTGGAAATGGGATAAACCGCACAGAACTAAAACAGAAGCATTCTCAGAAAATACTTTGTGATGATTGCATTCAAGTCACAGAGTTGAACAATCCCTTTGACAGAGCAGTTTGGAAACTCTCTTTGCGTAGAATCTGCAAGTGGAGATATGGACCGCTTTGAGGCCTATGGTAGTAAAGGAAATAGCTTCATATAAAAGCTAGACAGCAGCATTCTCAGAAACTTCTTTGTGATGCTTGCATTCAACTCACAGAGTTGAACTTTCCTTTCGAGAGAGAAGCTTTGAAACACTCTTTTTCCAGAATCTGCAAGTGGACATTTGGAGGGCTTTGAGGCCTGTGGTGGAAAAGGAATTAACTTCCCGTAAAAGCTAGATAGAAGCATTGTCAGAAACTTCTTTGTGATGATTGCATTCAACTCACAGAGTTGAAGGTTCCTTTTCAAACAGCAGTTTCCAATCACTCTTTCTGTGGAATCTGCAAGTGGATATTTGGGCCTCTCTGAGGATTTCGTTGGAAACGGGATAAAACGCACAGAACTAAAACAGAAGCATTCTCAGAAACTTCTCTGTGATGTTTGTGTTCAACTCCCAGAGTTTCACGTTGCTTTTCATAGAGTAGTTCTGAAACATGCTTTTCGTAGTGTCTGCAAGTGGACATTTGGAGCGCTTTCAGGCCTGTGGTGGAAAACGAATTATGGTCACATAAAAACTGGAGAGAAGCCTTCTCAGAACTTCTCTGTGATGATTGCATTCAACTCACAGAGTTGAACCCTCCTATGGATAGAGCAGTGTTGAAACTCTCTTTTTGTGGAATCTGCAAGTGGATATGTGGACCTCTCCGAAGATGTCTTTGGAAACGGGAATATCTTCACATAAAAACTAAACAGAAGCATTCTCAGAAACTTCTTGGTGATGTTTGCATTCAAATCCCAGAGTTGAACCTTCCTTTGATAGTTCAGGTTTGAAACACTCTTTTTGTAGGATCTGCAAGTGGCTATTTAGACCACTCTGTGGCCTTCGTTCGAAACGGGTATATCTTCGCATAAAATCTAGACAGAAACATTCTCAGAAAATACTTTGTGATGATTGAGTTTAAATCACAGAGCTGAACATTCCTTTGGATGGAGCAGGTTTGAGACACACTTTTTGTAGAATCTACAAGTGGATATTTGGACCTCTCTGAGGATTTCGTTGGAAACGGGATAACTGCACCTAACTAAACGGAAGCATTCTCAGAAACTGCTTTGTGATGATTGCATTCACCTCACAGAGTTGAACATTCCTATTGATAGAGCAGTTGGAAACACTCTTGTTGTGGAATGTGCAAGTGGAGATTTGGAGAGCTTTGAGGCCTATGGTAGTAAAGGGAATAGCTTCATAGAAAAACTGGACAGATGCATTCTCAGGAACTTTTTGGTGATGTTTGTATTCAACTCCCAGAGTTGAACTTTCCTTTGGAAAGAGCAGCTATGAAACACTCTTTTTCTAGAATCTGCAAGTGGACGATTGGAGGGCTTTGTGGTTTGTGGTGGAAAAGGAAATATCTTCACCTAAATACTAGAGAGAAGCATTCTCAGAAGCTTCTCTGTGATGACTGCATTCAACTCACGGAGTTGAACACTCCTTTTGAGAGCGCAGTTTTGAAACTCTGTTTCTGTGGCATCTGCAAGGGGACATGTAGACCTCTTAGAAGATTTCGTTGGAAACGGAATCATCTTCACATCAAAACTATACAGAAGCAGTCTCAGCATCTTCTTTGTGATGTTTGCATTCAAATCCCAGGAGTTGAACTTTCCTTTCAAAGTTCACGTTTGAAACACTCTTTTTGCAGGATCTACAAGTGGATATTTGGACCACTCTGTGTCCTTCGTTCGAAACGGGTATATCTTCACATGACATCTAGACAGAAGCTTTCTCAGAAAATTCTTTGGGATGATTGAGTTGAACTCACAGAGCTGAGCATTCCTTGCGATGTAGCAGTTTAGAAACACACTTTCTGCAGAATCTGCAAGTGCATATTTGGACCTCTGTGAGGAATTCGTTGGAAACGGGATAATTTCAGCTGACTAAACAGAAGCATTCTCAGAACCTTCTTCGTGATGTCTGCATTCAACTCACAGTGTGGAACCTTTCTTTGATAGTTCAGGTTTGAAACACTCTTTTTGTAGAAACTGCAAGGGGATAATTGCACTCTTTGAGGAGTACCGTAGTAAAGGAAATAACTTCCTATAAAAAGAAGACAGAAGCATTCTCAGAACCCTCTTCGTGATGTTTGCATTCAACTCACAGTGCTGAACCTTTCTTTGATAGTTCAGCTTTGAAACACTCTTTTTGTAGAAACTGCAAGTGCATATTTGGTCCTCTCTGAGCATTTCGTTGGAAACGGGATAAACTGCACAGAACTAAACAGAAGCATTCTCAGAACCTTCTTCGTGATGTTTGCATTCAACTCACAGTGTTGAACCTTTCTTTGATAGTTCAGGTTTGAAACGGTCTTTCTGTAGAAACTGCAAGTAGATATTTGGACCTCTCTGAGGATTTCGTTGGAAACGGGATAACCCGCACAGAACTAAAACAGAAGCATTCACAGAAAACTCTTGGTGACGACTGAGTTTAACTCACAGAAGCTGAACATTCCTTTGGATGGAGCAGTTTCGAAACACACTATTTGTAGAATGTGCAAGTGGATATTTGGGCCTCTCTGAGGATTTCGTTGGAAACGGGATAAACCGCACAGAACTAAAAAGAAGCATTCTCAGAAACTACTTTGTGATGATTGCATTCAAGTCACAGAGTTGAACATTCCCTTTGACAGAGCAGTTTGGAAACTCTCTTTGTGTAGAATCTGCAAGTGGAGATATGGACCGCTTTGAGGCCTATGGTAGTAAAGGAAATAGCTTCATATAAAAGCTAGACAGTAGCATTCTCAGAAACTTCTTTGTGATGCTTGCATTCAACTCACAGAGTTGAACTTTCCTTTCGAGAGAGAAGCTTTGAAACACTCTTTTTCCAGAATCTGCAAGTGGACATTTGGAGGGCTTTGAGGCCTGTGGTGGAAAAGGAATTATCTTCCCGTAAAAGCTAGATGGAAGCATTGTCAGAAACTTCTTTGTGATGATTGCATTCAACTCACAGAGTTGAAGGTTCCTTTTCAAAGAGCAGTTTCCAATCACTCTTTCTGTGGAATCTGCAAGTGGATATTTGGACCTATTTTGAAGATTTCGTTGGAAACGGGAGAATCTTCACAGGAAAGCTAAACAGAAGCATTCTCAGAAACTTCTCTGTGATGTTTGTGTTCAACTCCCAGAGTTTCACATTGCTTTTCATAGAGTAGTTCTGAAACATGCTTTTCGTAGTGTCTACAAGTGGACATTTGGAGCGCTTCCAGGCCTGTGGTGGAAAACGAATTATGGTCACATAAAAACTGGAGAGAAGCCTTCTCAGAAACTTCTCTGTGATGATTGCATTCAACTCACAGAAGTTGAACCCTCCTATGGATAGAGCAGTGTTGAAACTCTCTTTTTGTGGAATCTGCAAGTGGATATGTGGACCTCTTTGAAGATGTCTTTGGAAACGGGAATATCTTCACATAAAAACTAAACGGAAGCATTCTCAGAATCTTCTTGGTGATGTTTGCATTCAAATCCCAGAGTTGAACCTTCCTTTGATAGTTCAGGTTTGAAACACTCTTTTTGTAGGATCTGCAAGTGGATATTTGGACCACTCTGTGGCCTTCGTTCGAAACGGGTATATCTTCGCATAAAATCTAGACAGAAGCATTCTCAGAAAATACTTTGTGATGATTGAGTTTAACTCACAGAGCTGAACATTCCTTTGGATGGAGCAGGTTTGAGACACACTTTTTGTAGAATCTACAAGTGGATATTTGGACCTCTCTGAGGATTTCGTTGGAAACGGGATAACTGCACCTAACTAAACGGAAGCATTCTCAGAAACTGCTTTGTGATGATTGCATTCACCTCACAGAGTTGAACATTCCTATTGATAGAGCAGTTTGGAAACACTCTTGTTGTGGAATGTGCAAGTGGAGATTTGGAGCGCTTTGAGGCCTACGGTAGTAAAGGGAATAGCTTCATAGAAAAACTAGACAGATGCATTCTCAGGAACTTTTTGGTGATGTTTGTATTCAACTCCCAGAGTTGAACTTTCCTTTGGAAAGAGCAGCTATGAAACACTCTTTTTCTAGAATCTGCAAGTGGACGTTTGGAGGGCTTTGTGGTTTGTGGTGGAAAAGGAAATATCTTCACCTAAATACTAGATAGAAGCATTCTCAGAAGCTTCTCTGTGATGACTGCATTCAACTCACGGAGTTGAACACTCCTTTTGAGAGCGCAGTTTTGAAACTCTCTTTCTGTGGCATCCGCAAGGGGACATGTGGACCTCTTTGAAGGTTTCGTTGGAAACGGAATCATCTTCACATAAAAACTATACAGAAGCAGTCTCAGAATCTTCTTTGTGATGTTTGCATTCAAATCCCAGAGTTGAACTTTCCTTTCAAAGTTCACGTTTGAAACACTCTTTTTGCAGGATCTACAAGTGGATATTTGGACCACTCTGTGTCCTCCGTTCGAAACGGGTATATCTTCACATGACATCTAGACAGAAGCTTTCTCAGAAAATTCTTTGGGATGATTGAGTTGAACTCACAGAGCTGAACATTCCTTGCGATGGAGCAGTTTAGAAACACACTTTCTGCAGAATCTGCAAGTGCATATTTGGACCTCTCTGAGGAATTCGTTGGAAACGGGATAATTTCAGCTGACTAAACAGAGCATTCTCAGAACCTTCTTCGTGATGTCTGCATTCAACTCACAGTGTGGAACCTTTCTTTGATAGTTCAGGTTTGAAACACTCTTTTTGTAGAAACTGCAAGGGGATAATTGCACTTCTTTGAGGCCTACCGTAGTAAAGGAAATAACTTCCTATAGAAAGAAGACAGAAGAATTCTCAGAGCCCGTCTTCGTGATGTTTGCATTCAACTCACAGTGCTGAACCTTTCTTTGATAGTGCAGCTTTGAAACACTCTTTTTGTAGAAACTGCAAGTGGATGTTTGGTCCTCTCTGAGGATTTCGTTGGAAACGGAATAAACCGCACAGAACTAAAACAGAAGCATTCACAGAAAACTCTTGGTGACGACTGAGTTTAACTCACAGAGCTGAACATTCCTTTGGATGGAGCAGTTTCGAAACACACTATTTGTAGAATCTGCAAGTGGATATTTGGGCCTCTCTGAGGATTTCGTTGGAAACGGGATAAAACGCACAGAACTAAAACAGAAGCATTCTCAGAAACTACTTTGTGATTATTGCATTCAAGTCACAGAGTTGAACATTCCCTTTGACAGAGCAGTTTGGAAACTCTCTTTGTGTAGAATCTGCAAGTGGAGATATGGACCGCTTTGAGGCCTATGGTAGTAAAGGAAATAGCTTCATATAAAACCTAGACAGTAGCATTCTCAGAAACTTCTTTGTGATGCTTGCATTCAACTCACAGAGTTGAACTTTCCTTTCGAGAGAGAAGCTTTGAAACACTCTTTTTCCAGAATGTGCAAGTGGACATTTGGGGAGCTTTGAGGCCTGTGGTGGAAAAGGAATTATCTTCCCGTAAAAGCTAGATAGAAGCACTGTCAGAAACTTCTTTGTGATGATTGCATTCAACTCACAGAGTTGAAGGTTCCTTTTCAAACAGCAGTTTCCAATCACTCTTTCTGTGGAATCTGCAAGTGGATATTTGGACCTATTTTGAAGATTTCGTTGGAAACGGGATAATCTTCACAGAAAAGCTAAACAGAAGCATTCTCAGAAACTTCTCTGTGATGTTTGTGTTCAACTCCCAGAGTTTCACATTGCTTTTCATAGAGTAGTTCTGAAACATGCTTTTCGCAGTGTCTGCAAGTGGACATTTGGAGCGCTTTCAGGCCTGTGGTGGAAAACGAATTATGGTCACATAAAAACTGGAGAGAAGCCTTCTCAGAAACTTCTCTGTGATGATTGCATTCAACTCACAGAGTTGAACCCTCCTATGGATAGAGCAGTGTTGAAACTCTCTTTTTGTGGAATCTGCAAGTGGATATGTGGACCTCTCCGAAGATGTCTTTGGAAACGGGAATATCTTCACATAAAAACTAAACAGAAGCATTCTCAGAAACTTCTTGGTGATGTTTGCATTCAAATCCCAGAGTTGAACCTTCCTTTGATAGTTCAGGTTTGAAACACTCTTTTTGTAGGATCTGCAAGTGGATATTTGTACCACTCTGTGGCCTTCGTTCGAAACGGGTACATCTTCACATAAAATCTAGACAGAAGCATTCTCAGAAAATACTTTGTGATGATTGAGTTTAACTCACAGAGCTGAACATTCCTTTGGATGGAGCAGGTTTGAGACACACTTTTTGTAGAATCTACAAGTGGATATTTGGACCTCTCTGAGGATTTCGTTGGAAACGCGATAACTGCACCTAACTACACGGAAGCATTCTCAGAAACTGCTTTGTGATGATTGCATTCACCTCACAGAGTTGAACATTCCTATTGATAGAGCAGTTTGGAAACACTCTTGTTGTGGAATGTGCAAGTGGAGATTTGGAGCGCTTTGAGGCCTATGGTAGTAAAGGGAATAGCTTCATAGAAAAATTAGACAGATGCATTCTCAGGAACTTTTTGGTGATGTTTATATTCAACTCCCACAGTTGAACTTTCCTTTGGAAAGAGCAGCTATGAAACACTCTTTTTCTAGAATCTGCAAGCGGACGTTTGGAGGGCTTTGTGGTTTGTGGTGGAAAAGGAAATATCTTCACCTAAATACTAGACAGAAGCATTCTCAGAAGCTTCTCTGTGATGACTGCATTCAACTCACGGAGTTGAACACTCCTTTTGAGAGCGCAGTTTTGAAACTCTGTTTCTGTGGCATCTGCAAGGGGACATGTAGACCTCTTTGAAGATTTCATTGGAAACGGAATCATCTTCACATAAAAACTATACAGAAGCAGTCTCAGAATCTTCTTTGTGATGTTTGCATTCAAATCCCAGAGTTGAACTTTCCTTTCAAAGTTCACGTTTGAAACACTCTTTTTGCAGGATCTACAAGTGGATATTTGGACCACTCTGTGTCCTTCGTTCGAAACGGGTATATCTTCACATGACATCTAGACAGAAGCTTTCTCAGAAAATTCTTTGGGATGATTGAGTGGAACTCACAGAGCTGAACATTCCTTGCGATGTAGCAGTTTAGAAACACACTTTCTGCAGAATCTGCAAGTGCATATTTGGACCTCTCTGAGGAATTCGTTGGAAACGGGATAATTTCAGCTGACTAAACAGAAGCATTCTCAGAACCTTCTTCGTGATGTCTGCATTCAACTCACAGTGTGGAACCTTTCTTTGATAGTTCAGGTTTGAAACACTCTTTTTGTAGAAACTGCAAGGGGATAATTGCACTCTTTGAGGAGTACCGTAGTAAAGGAAATAACTTCCTATAAAAAGAAGACAGAAGCATTCTCAGAACCCTCTTCGTGATGTTTGCATTCAACTCACAGTGCTGAACCTTTCTTTGATAGTTCAGCTTTGAAACACTCTTTTTGTAGAAACTGCAAGTGGATATTTGGTCCTCTCTGAGGATTTCGTTGGAAACGGGATAAACCGCACAGAACTAAACAGAAGCATTCTCAGAACCTTCTTCGTGATGTTTGCATTCAACTCAACAGTGTTGAACCTTTCTTTGATAGTTCAGGTTTGAAACGGTCTTTCTGTAGAAACTGCAAGTAGATATTTGGACCGCTCTGAGGATTTCGTTGGAAACGGGATAACCCGCACAGAACTAAAACAGAAGCATTCACAGAAAACTCTTGGTGACGACTGAGTTTAACTCACAGAGCTGAACATTCCTTTGGATGGAGCAGTTTCGAAACACACTATTTGTAGAATGTGCAAGTGGATATTTGGGCCTCTCTGAGGATTTCGTTGGAAACGGGATAAAACGCACAGAACTAAAACAGAAGCATTCTCAGAAACTAATTTGTGATGATTACATTCAAGTCACAGAGTTGAACATTCCCTTTGACAGAGCAGTTTGGAAACTCTCTTTGTGTAGAATCTGCAAGTGGAGATATAGACCGCTTTGAGGCCTATGGTAGTAAAGGAAATAGCTTCATATAAAAGCTAGACAGTAGCATTCTCAGAAACTTCTTTGTGATGCTTGCATTCAACTCACAGAGTTGAACTTTCCTTTCGAGAGAGAAGCTTTGAAACACTCTTTTTCCAGAATCTGCAAGTGGACATTTGGAGGGCTTTGAGGCCTGTGGTGGAAAAGGAATTATCTTCCCGTAAAAGCTAGATAGAAGCATTGTCAGAAACTTCTTTGTGATGATTGCATTCAACTCACAGAGTTGAAGGTTCCTTTTCAAACAGCAGTTTCCAATCACTCTTTCTGTGGAATCTGCAAGTGGATATTTCGACCTCTTTGAAGATTTCGTTGGAAACGGGAGAATCTTCACAGAAAAGCTAAACAGAAGCATTCTCAGAAACTTCTCTGTGATGTTTGTGTTCAACTCCCAGAGTTTCACGTTGCTTTTCATAGAGTAGTTCTGAAACATGCTTTTCGTAGTGTCTGCAAGTGGACATTTGGAGCGCTTTCAGGCCTGTGGTGGAAAACGAATTATGGTCACATAAAAACTGGAGAGAAGCCTTCTCAGAAACTTCTCTGTGATGATTGCATTCAACTCACAGAGTTGAACCCTCCTATGGATAGAGCAGTGTTGAAACTCTCTTTTTGTGGAATCTGCAAGTGGATATGTGGACCTCTCCGAAGATGTCTTTGGAAACGGGAATATCTTCACATAAAAACTAAACAGAAGCATTCTCAGAAACTTCTTGGTGATGTTTGCATTCAAATCCCAGAGTTGAACCTTCCTTTGATAGTTCAGGTTTGAAACACTCTTTTTGTAGGTTCTGCAAGTGGATATTTGGACCACTCTGTGGCCTTCGTTCGAAACGGGTACATCTTCGCATAAAATCTAGACAGAAGCATTCTCAGAAAATACTTTGTGATGATTGAGTTGAACTCACAGAGCTGAACATTCCTTTGGATGGAGCAGGTTTGAGACACACTTTTTGTAGAATCTACAAGTGGATATTTGGACCTCTCTGAGGATTTCGTTGGAAACGGGATAACTGCACCTAACTAATCGGAAGCATTCTCAGAAACTGCTTTGTGATGATTGCATTCACCTCACAGAGTTGACCATTCCTATTGATAGAGCAGTTTGGAAACACTCTTGTTGTGGAATGTGCAAGTGGAGATTTGGAGCGCTTTGAGGCCTATGGTAGTAAAGGGAATAGCTTCATAGAAAAACTAGACAGATGCATTCTCAGGAACTTTTTGGTGATGTTTGTATTCAACTCCCAGAGTTGAACTTTCCTTTGGAAAGAGCAGCTATGAAACACTCTTTTTCTAGAATCTGCAAGTGGACGTTTGGAGGGCTTTGTGGTTTGTGGTGGAAAAGGAAATATCTTCACCTAAATACTAGATAGAAGCATTCTCAGAAGCTTCTCTGTGATGACTGCATTCAACTCACGTAGTTGAACACTCCTTTTGAGAGCGCAGTTTTGAAACTCTCTTTCTGTGGCATCTGCAAGGGGACATGTAGACCTCTTTGAAGATTTCGTTGGAAACGGAATCATCTTCACATAAAAACTATACAGAAGCAGTCTCAGAATCTTCTTTGTGATGTTTGCATTCAAATCCCAGAGTTGAACTTTTCTTTCCAAGTTCACGTTTGAAACACTCTTTTTGCAGGATCTACAAGTGGATATTTGGACCACTCTGTGTCCTTCGTTCGAAACGGGTATATCTTCACATGACATCTAGACAGAAGCTTTCTCAGAAAATTCTTTGGGATGATTGAGTTGAGCAAACAGAGCTGAACACTCCTTGCGATGTAGCAGTTTAGAAACACACTTTCTGCAGAATCTGCAAGTGCATATGTGGACCTCTCTGAGGAATTCCTTGGAAACGGGATAATTTCAGCTGACTAAACAGAAGCATTCTCAGAACCTTCTTCGTGATGTCTGCATTCAACTCACAGTGTGGAACCTTTCTTTGATAGTTCAGGTTTGAAACACTCTTTTTGTAGAAACTGCAAGGGGATCATTGCACTTCTTTGAGGCCTACCGTAGTAAAGGAGATAACTTCCTATAAAAAGAAGACAGAAGCATTCTCAGAACCCTCTTCGTGATGTTTGCATTCAACTCACGGTGCTGAACCCTTCTTTGATAGTTCAGCTTTGAAACACTCTTTTTGTAGAAACTGCAAGTGGATATTTGGTCCTCTCTGAGGATTTCGTTGGAAACGGGATAAACCGCACAGAACTAAACAGAAGCATTCTCAGAACCTTCTTCTTGATGTTTGCATTCAACTCACAGTGTTGAACCTTTCTTTGATAGTTCAGGTTTGAAACGGTCTTTCTATAGAAACTGCAAGTAGATATTTGGTCCTCTCGGAGGATTTCTTTGGAAACGGGATAAACCGCACAGAACTAAAACAGACAGCATTCACAGAAAAACTCTTGGTGACGACTGAGTTTAACTCACAGAGCTGAACATTCCTTTGGATGGAGCAGTTTCGAAACACACTATTTGTAGAATGTGCAAGTGGATATGTGGGCCTCTCTGAGGATTTCGTTGGAAACGGGATAAACCGCACAGAACTAAACAGAAGCATTCTCAGAAACTACTTTGTGATGATTGCATTCAAGTCACAGAGTTGAACATTCCCTTTGACAGAGCAGTTTGGAAACTCTCTTTGTGTAGAATCTGCAAGTGGAGATATGGACCGCTTTGAGGCCTATGGTAGTAAAGGAAATAGCTTCATAGAAAAGCTAGACAGTAGCATTCTCAGAAACTTCTTTGTGATGCTTGCATTCAACTCACAGAGTTGAACTTTCCTTTCGAGAGAGAAGCTTTGAAACACTCTTTTTCCAGAATCTGCAAGTGGACATTTGGAGGGCTTTGAGGCCTGTGGTGGAAAAGGAATTATCTTCCCGTAAAAGCTAGATAGAAGCATTGTCAGAAACTTCTTTGTGATGATTGCATTCAACTCACAGAGTTGAAGGTTCCTTTTCAAACAGCAGTTTCCAATCACTCTTTCTGTGGAATCTGCAAGTGGATATTTCGACCTCTTTGAAGATTTCGTTGGAAACGGGAGAATCTTCACAGAAAAGCTAAACAGAAGCATTCTCAGAAACTTCTCTGTGATGTTTGTGTTCAACTCCCAGAGTTTCACGTTGCTTTTCATAGAGTAGTTCTGAAACATGCTTTTCGTAGTGTCTGCAAGTGGACATTTGGAGCGCTTTCAGGCCTGTGGTGGAAAACGAATTATGGTCACATAAAAACTGGAGAGAAGCCTTCTCAGAAACTTCTCTGTGATGATTGCATTCAACTCACAGAGTTGAACCCTCCTATGGATAGAGCAGTGTTGAAACTCTCTTTTTGTGGAATCTGCAAGTGGATATGTGGACCTCTCCGAAGATGTCTTTGGAAACGGGAATATCTTCACATAAAAACTAAACAGAAGCATTCTCAGAAACTTCTTGGTGATGTTTGCATTCAAATCCCAGAGTTGAACCTTCCTTTGATAGTTCAGGTTTGAAACACTCTTTTTGTAGGATCTGCAAGTGGCTATTTGGACCACTCTGTGGCCTTCGTTCGAAACGGGTATATCTTCCCATAAAATCTAGACAGAAGCATTCTCAGAAAATACTTTGTGATGATTGAGTTTAAATCACAGAGCTGACCATTCCTTTGGATGGAGCAGGTTTGAGACACACTTTTTGTAGAATCTACAAGTGGATATTTGGACCTCTCTGAGGATTTCGTTGGAAACGGGATAACTGCACCTAACTAAACGGAAGCATTCTCAGCAAACTGCTTTGTGATGATTGCATTCACCTCACAGAGTTGAACATTCCTATTGATAGAGCAGTTTGGAAACACTCTTGTTGTGGAATGTGCAAGTGGAGATTTGGAGCGCTTTGAGGCCTATGGTAGTAAAGGGAATAGCTTCATAGAAAAACTAGACAGATGCATTCTCAGGAACTTTTTGGTGATGTTTGTATTCAACTCCCAGAGTTGAACTTTCCTTTGGAAAGAGCAGCTATGAAACACTCTTTTTCTAGAATCTGCAAGTGGACGTTTGGAGGGCTTTGTGGTTTGTGGTGGAAAAGGAAATATCTTCACCTAAATACTAGATAGAAGCATTCTCAGAAGCTTCTCTGTGATGACTGCATTCAACTCACGGAGTTGAACACTCCTTTTCAGAGCGCAGTTTTGAAACTCTCTTTCTGTGGCATCTGCAAGGGGACATGTAGACCTCTTTGAAGATTTCGTTGGAAACGGAATCATCTTCACATCAAAACTATACAGAAGCAGTCTCAGAATCTTCTTTGTGATGTTTGCATTCAAATCCCAGAGTTGAACTTTCCTTTCAAAGTTCACGTTTGAAACACTCTTTTTGCAGGATCTACAAGTGGATATTTGGACCACTCTGTGTCCTTCGTTCGAAACGGGTATATCTTCACATGACATCTAGACAGAAGCTTTCTCAGAAAATTCCTTTGGGATGATTGAGTTGAGCAAACAGAGCTGAACACTCCTTGCGATGTAGCAGTTTAGAAACACACTTTCTGCAGAATCTGCAAGTGCATATGTGGACCTCTCTGAGGAATTCGTTGGAAACGGGATAATTTCAGCTGACTAAACAGAAGCATTCTCAGAACCTTCTTCGTGATGTCTGCATTCAACTCACAGTGTGGAACCTTTCTTTGATAGTTCAGGTTTGAAACACTCTTTTTGTAGAAACTGCAAGGGGATAATTGCACTTCTTTGAGGCCTACCGTAGTAAAGGAAATAACTTCCTATAAAAAGAAGACAGAAGCATTCTCAGAACCCTCTTCGTGATGTTTGCATTCAACTCACAGTGCTGAACCTTTCTTTGATAGTTCAGCTTTGAAACACTCTTCTTGTAGAAACTGCAAGTGGATATTTGGTCCTCTCTGAGGATTTCGTTGGAAACGGGATAAACCGCACAGAACTAAACAGAAGAATTCTCAGAGCCCTCTTCGTGATGTTTGCATTCAACTCACAGTGCTGAACCTTTCTTTGATAGTGCAGCTTTGAAACACTCTTTTTGTAGAAACTGCAAGTGGATATTTGGTCCTCTCTGAGGATTTCATTGGAAACGGGATAAACCGCACAGAACTAAAACAGAAGCATTCACAGAAAACTCTTGGTGACGACTGAGTTTAACTCACAGAGCTGAACATCCCTTTGGATGGAGCAGTTTCGAAACACACTATTTGTAGAATGTGGAAGTGGATATTTGGGCCTCTCTGAGGATTTCGTTGGAAACGGGATAAACCGCACAGAACTAAACAGAAGCATTCTCAGAAACTACTTTGTGATGATTGCATTCAAGTCACAGAGCTGAACATTCCCTTTGACAGAGCAGTTTGGAATCTCTCTTTGTGTAGAATCTGCAAGTGGAGATATGGAATGCTTTGAGGACTATGGTAGTAAAGGAAATAGCTTCATATAAAAGCTAGACAGTAGCATTCTCAGAAACTTCTTTGTGATGCTTGCATTCAACTCACAGAGTTGAACTTTCCTTTCGAGAGAGAAGCTTTGAAACACTCTTTTTCCAGAATCTGCAAGTGGACATTTGGAGGGCTTTGAGGCCTGTGGTGGAAAAGGAATTATCTTCCCGTAAAAGCTGGATAGAAGCATTGTCAGAAACTTCTTTGAGATGATTGCATTCAACTCACAGAGTTGAAGGTTCCTTTTCAAACAGCAGTTTCCAAACACTATTTCTGTGGAATCTGCAAGTGGATATTTGGACCTCTTTGAAGATTTCGTTGGAAACGGGATAACCTTCACAGAAAAGCTAAACAGAAGCATTCTCAGAAACTTCTCTGTGATGTTTGTGTTCAACTACCAGAGTTTCACATTGCTTTTCATAGAGTAGTTCTGAAACATGCTTTTCGTAATGTCTGCAAGTGGACATTTGGAGCGCTTTCAGGCCTGTGGTGGAAAACGATTTATGGTCACATAAAAACTGGAGAGAAGCCTTCTCAGAAACTTCTCTGTGATGATTGCATTCAACTCACGGAGTTGAACCCTCCTATGGATAGAGCAGTGTTGAAACTCTCTTTTTGTGGAATCTGCAAGTGGATATGTGGACCTCTCCGAAGATGTCTTTGGAAACGGGAATATCTTCACATAAAAACTAAACAGAAGCATTCTCAGAAACTTCTTGGTGATGTTTGCATTCAAATCCCAGAGTTGAACCTTCCTTTGATAGTTCAGGTTTGAAACACTCTTTTTGTAGGACCTGCAAGTGGATATTTGGACCACTCTGTGGCCTTCGTTCGAAACGGGTACATCTTCGCATAAAATCTAGACAGAAGCATTCTCAGAAAATACTTTGTGATGATTGAGTTTAACTCACAGAGCTGAACATTCCTTTGGATGGAGCAGGTTTGAGACACACTTTTTGTAGAATCTACAAGTGGATATTTGGACCTCTCTGAGGATTTCGTTGGAAACGGGATAACTGCACCTAACTAAACGGAAGCATTCTCAGAAACTGCTTTGTGATGATTGCATTCACCTCACAGAGTTGAACATTCCTATTGATAGAGCAGTTTGGAAACACTCTTGTTGTGGAATGTGCAAGTGGAGATTTGGAGCGCTTTGAGGCCTATGGTAGTAAAGGGAATAGCTTCATAGAAAAACTAGACAGATGCATTCTCAGGAACTTTTTGGTGATGTTTGTATTCAACTCCCAGAG
This sequence comes from Homo sapiens, assembly GCF_000001405.40. Taxonomy (NCBI): domain Eukaryota; kingdom Metazoa; phylum Chordata; class Mammalia; order Primates; family Hominidae; genus Homo; species Homo sapiens. The sequence goes on from NC_000017.11 coordinate 26,056,360, forward strand.
TTGAACTTTCCTTTGGAAAGAGCAGCTATGAAACACTCTTTTTCTAGAATCTGCAAGTGGACGTTTGGAGGGCTTTGTGGTTTGTGGTGGAAAAGGAAATATCTTCACCTAAATACTAGATAGAAGCATTCTCAGAAGCTTCTCTGTGATGACTGCATTCAACTCACGGAGTTGAACACTCCTTTTGAGAGCGCAGTTTTGAAACTCCCTTTCTGTGGCATCTGCAAGGGGACATGTAGACCTCTTTGAAGATTTCGTTGGAAACGGAATCATCTTCACATAAAAACTATACAGAAGCAGTCTCAGAATCTTCTTTGTGATGTTTGCATTCAAATCCCAGAGTTGAACTTTCCTTTCAAAGTTCACGTTTGAAACACTCTTTTTGCAGGATCTACAAGTGGATATTTGGACCACTCTGTGTCCTTCGTTCGAAACGGGTATATCTTCACACGACATCTAGACAGAAGCTTTCTCAGAAAATTCTTTGGGATGATTGAGTGGAACTCACAGAGCTGAACATTCCTTGCGATGTAGCAGTTTAGAAACACACTTTCTGCAGAATCTGCAAGTGCATATTTGGACCTCTCTGAGGAATTCGTTGGAAACGGGATAATTTCAGCTGACTAAACAGAAGCATTCTCAGAACCTTCTTCGTGATGTCTGCATTCAACTCACAGTGTGGAACCTTTCTTTGATAGTTCAGGTTTGAAACACTCTTTTTGTAGAAACTGCAAGGGGATAATTGCACTTCTTTGAGGCCTACCGTAGTAAAGGAAATAACTTCCTATAGAAAGAAGACAGAAGCATTCTCAGAACCCTCTTCGTGATGTTTGCATTCAACTCACAGTGCTGAACCTTTCTTTGATAGTTCAGCTTTGAAACTCTCCTTTTGTAGAAACTGCAAATGGATATTTGGTCCTCTCTGAGGATTTCGTTGGAAAAGGGATAAAACGCACAGAACTAAACAGAAGCATTCTCAGAACCTTCTTCGTGATGTTTGCATTCAACTCACAGTGTTGAACCTTTCTTTGATAGTTCAGGTTTGAAACGGTCTTTCTGTAGAAACTGCAAGTAGATATTTGGACCTCTCTGAGGATTTCGTTGGAAACGGGATAAACCGCACAGAACTAAAACAGAAGCATTCACAGAAAACTCTTGGTGACGACTGAGTTTAACTCACAGAGCTGAACATTCCTTTGGATGGAGCAGTTTCGAAACACACTATTTGTAGAATGTGCAAGTGGATATTTAGGCCTCTCTGAGGATTTCGTTGGAAACGGGATAAACCGCACAGAACTAAACAGAAGCATTCTCAGAAACTACTTTGTGATGATTGCATTCAAGTCACAGAGTTGAACATTCCCTTTGACAGAGCAGTTTGGAAACTCTCTTTGTGTAGAATCTGCAAGTGGAGATATGGACCGCTTTGAGGACTATGGTAGTAAAGGAAATAGCTTCATATAAAAGCTAAACAGTAGCATTCTCAGAAACTTCTTTGTGATGCTTGCATTCAACTCACAGAGTTGAACTTTCCTTTCGAGAGAGAAGCTTTGAAACACTCTTTTTCCAGAATCTGCAAGTAGACATTTGGAGGGCTTTGAGGCCTGTGGTGGAAAAGGAATTATCTTCCCGTAAAAGCTAGATAGAAGCATTGTCAGAAACTTCTTTGTGATGATTGCATTCAACTCACAGAGTTGAAGGTTCCTTTTCAAACAGCAGTTTCCAATCACTCTTTCTGTGGAATCTGCAAGTGGATATTTGGACCTCTTTGAAGATTTCGTTGGAAACGGGAGAATCTTCACAGAAAAGCTAAACAGAAGCATTCTCAGAAACTTCTCTGTGATGTTTGTGTTCAACTCCCAGAGTTTCACATTGCTTCTCATAGAGTAGTTCTGAAACATGCTTTTCGTAGTGTCTGCAAGTGGACATTTGGAGCGCTTTCAGGCCTGTGGTGGAAAACGAATTATGGTCACATAAAAACTGGAGAGAAGCCTTCTCAGAAACTTCTCTGTGATGATTGCATTCAACTCACAGAGTTGAACCCTCCTATGGATAGAGCAGTGTTGAAACTCTCTTTTTGTGGAATCTGCAAGTGGATATGTGGACCTCTCCGAAGATGTCTTTGGAAACGGGAATATCTTCACATAAAAACTAAACAGAAGCATTCTCAGAAACTTCTTGGTGATGTTTGCATTCAAATCCCAGAGTTGAACCTTCCTTTGATAGTTCAGGTTTGAAACACTCTTTTTGTAGGATCTGCAAGTGGCTATTTGGACCACTCTGTGGCCTTCGTTCGAAACGGGTATATCTTCGCATAAAATCTAGACAGAAGCATTCTCAGAAAATACTTTGTGATGATTGAGTTTAACTCACAGAGCTGAACATTCCTTTGGATGGAGCAGGTTTGAGACACACTTTTTGTAGAATCTACAAGTGGATATTTGGACCTCTCGGAGGATTTCGTTGGAAACGGGATAACTGCACCTAACTAAACGGAAGCATTCTCAGAAACTGCTTTGTGATGATTGCATTCACCTCACAGAGTTGAACATTCCTATTGATAGAGCAGTTTGGAAACACTCTTATTGTGGAATGTGCAAGTGGAGATTTGGAGCGCTTTGAGGCCTATGGTAGTAAAGGGAATAGCTTCATAGAAAAACTAGACAGATGCATTCTCAGGAACTTTTTGGTGATGTTTGTATTCAACTCCCAGAGTTGAACTTTCCTTTGGAAAGAGCAGCTATGAAACACTCTTTTTCTAGAATCTGCAAGTGGACGTTTGGAGGGCTTTGTGGTTTTTGGTGGAAAAGGAAATATCTTCACCTAAATACTAGATAGAAGCATTCTCAGAAGCTTCTCTGTGATGACTGCATTCAACTCACGGAGTTGAACACTCCTTTTGAGAGCGCAGTTTTGGAACTCTCTTTCTGTGGCATCTGCAAGGGGACATGTAGACCTCTTTGAAGATTTCGTTGGAAACGGAATCATCTTCACATAAAAACTATACAGAAGCAGTCTCAGAATCTTCTTTGTGATGTTTGCATTCAAATCCCAGAGTTGAACTTTCCTTTCAAAGTTCACGTTTGAAACACTCTTTTTGCAGGATCTACAAGTGGATATTTGGACCACTCTGTGTCCTTCGTTCGAAACGGGTATATCTTCACATGACATCTAGACAGAAGCTTTCTCAGAAAATTCTTTGGGATGATTGAGTTGAGCAAACAGAGCTGAACACTCCTTGCGATGTAGCAGTTTAGAAACACCCTTTCTGCAGAATCTGCAAGTGCATATGTGGACCTCTCTGAGGAATTCGTTGGAAACGGGATAATTTCAGCTGACTAAACAGAAGCATTCTCAGAACCTTCTTCGTGATGTCTGCATTCAACTCACAGTGTGGAACCTTTCTTTGATAGTTCAGGTTTGAAACACTCTTTTTGTAGAAACTGCAAGGGGATCATTGCACTTCTTTGAGGCCTACCGTAGTAAAGGAAATAACTTCCTATAAAAAGAAGACAGAAGCATTCTCAGAACCCTCTTCGTGATGTTTGCATTCAACTCACAGTGCTGAACCTTTCTTTGATAGTTCAGCTTTGAAACACTCTTCTTGTAGAAACTGCAAGTGGATATTTGGTCCTCTCTGAGGATTTCGTTGGAAACGGGATAAACCGCACAGAACTAAACAGAAGCATTCTCAGAACCTTCTTCGTGATGTTTGCATTCAACTCACAGTGTTGAACCTTTCTTTGATAGTTCAGGTTTGAAACGGTCTTTCTGTAGAAACTGCAAGTAGATCTTTGGACCTCTCTGAGGATTTCGTTGGAAACGGGATAACCCACACAGAACTAAAACAGAAGCATTCACAGAAAACTCTTGGTGACGACTGAGTTTAACTCACAGAGCTGAACATTCCTTTGGATGGAGCAGTTTCGAAACACACTATTTGTAGAATGTGCAAGTGGATATTTGGGCCTCTCTGAGGATTTCGTTGGAAACGGGATAAACCGCACAGAACTAAACAGAAGCATTCTCAGAAACTACTTTGTGATGATTGCATTCAAGTCACAGAGTTGAACATTCCCTTTGACAGAGCAGTTTGGAAACTCTCTTTGTGTAGAATCTGCAAGTGGAGATATGGACCGCTTTGAGGCCTATGGTAGTAAAGGAAATAGCTTCATATAAAAGCTAGACAGTAGCATTCTCAGAAACTTCTTTGTGATGCTTGCATTCAACTCACAGAGTTGAACTTTCCTTTCGAGAGAGAAGCTTTGAAACACTCTTTTTCCAGAATCTGCAAGTGGACATTTGGAGGGCTTTGAGGCCTGTGGTGGAAAAGGAATTATCTTCCCGTAAAAGCTAGATAGAAGCATTGTCAGAAACTTCTTTGTGATGATTGCATTCAACTCACAGAGTTGAAGGTTCCTTTTCAAACAGCAGTTTCCAATCACTCTTTCTGTGGAATCTGCAAGTGGATATTTGGGCCTCTCTGAGGATTTCGTTGGAAACGGGATAAAACGCACAGAACTAAAACAGAAGCATTCTCAGAAACTTCTCTGTGATGTTTGTGTTCAACTCCCAGAGTTTCACATTGCTTTTCATAGAGTAGTTCTGAAACATGCTTTTCGTAGTGTCTACAAGTGGACATTTGGAGCGCTTTCAGGCCTGTGGTGGAAAACGAATTATGGTCACATAAAAACTGGAGAGAAGCCTTCTCAGAAACTTCTCTGTGATGATTGCATTCAACTCACAGAGTTGAACCCTCCTATGGATAGAGCAGTGTTGAAACTCTCTTTTTGTGGAATCTGCAAGTGGATATGTGGACCTCTCCGAAGATGTCTTTGGAAACGGGAATATCTTCACATAAAAACTAAACAGAAGCATTCTCAGAAACTTCTTGGTGATGTTTGCATTCAAATCCCAGAGTTGAACCTTCCTTTGATAGTTCAGGTTTGAAACACTCTTTCTGTAGGATCTGCAAGTGGCTATTTGGACCACTCTGTGGCCTTCGTTCGAAACGGGTATATCTTCGCATAAAATCTAGACAGAAGCATTCTCAGAAAATACTTTGTGATGATTGAGTTTAAATCACAGAGCTGACCATTCCTTTGGATGGAGCAGGTTTGAGACACACTTTTTGTAGAATCTACAAGTGGATATTTGGACCTCTCTGAGGATTTCGTTGGAAACGGGATAACTGCACCTAACTAAACGGAAGCATTCTCAGAAACTGCTTTGTGATGATTGCATTCACCTCACAGAGTTGAACATTCCTATTGATAGAGCAGTTTGGAAACACTCTTGTTGTGGAATGTGCAAGTGGAGATTTGGAGCGCTTTGAGGCCTATGGTAGTAAAGGGAATAGCTTCATAGAAAAACTAGACAGATGCATTCTCAGGAACTTTTTGGTGATGTTTGTATTCAACTCCCAGAGTTGAACTTTCCTTTGGAAAGAGCAGCTATGAAACACTCTTTTTCTAGAATCTGCAAGTGGACGTTTGGAGGGCTTTGTGGTTTGTGGTGGAAAAGGAAATATCTTCACCTAAATACTAGATAGAAGCATTCTCAGAAGCTTCTCTGTGATGACTGCATTCAACTCACGGAGTTGAACACTCCTTTTGAGAGCGCAGTTTTGAAACTCTCTTTCTGTGGCATCTGCAAGGGGACATGTAGACCTCTTTGAAGATTTCGTTGGAAACGGAATCATCTTCACATAAAATCTATACAGAAGCAGTCTCAGAATCTTCTTTGTGATGTTTGCATTCATATCCCAGAGTTGAACTTTCCTTTCAAAGTTCACGTTTGAAACACTCTTTTTGCAGGATCTACAAGTGGATATTTGGACCACTCTGTGTCCTTCGTTCGAAACGGGTATATCTTCACATGACATCTAGACAGAAGCTTTCTCAGAAAATTCTTTGGGATGATTGAGTGGAACTCACAGAGCTGAACATTCCTTGCGATGTAGCAGTTTAGAAACACACTTTCTGCAGAATCTGCAAGTGCATATTTGGACCTCTCTGAGGAATTCGTTGGAAACGGGATAATTTCAGCTGACTAAACAGAAGCATTCTCAGAACCTTCTTCGTGATGTCTGCATTCAACTCACAGTGTGGAACCTTTCTTTGATAGTTCAGGTTTGAAACACTCTTTTTGTTGAAACTGCAAGGGGATAATTGCACTTCTTTGAGGCCTACTGTAGCAAAAGAAATAACTTCCTATAAAAAGAAGACAGAAGCATTCTCAGAACCCTCTTCGTGATGTTTGCATTCAAATCACAGTGCTGAACCTTTCTTTGATAGTTCAGCATTGAAACACTCTTTTTGTAGAAACTGCAAGTGGATATTTCGTCCTCTCTGAGGATTTCGTTGGAAACGGGATAAACCGCACAGAACTAAACAGAAGCATTCTCAGAACATTCTTCGTGATGTTTGCATTCAACTCACAGTGCTGAACCTTTCTTTGATAGTTCAGCTTTGAAACACTCTTTTTGTAGAAACTGCAAGTGGATATTTGGACCTCTCTGAGGATTTCGTTGGAAACGGGATAAACTGCACAGAACTAAAACAGAAGCATTGTCAGAAACTTCTTTGTGATGATTGCATTCAACTCACAGAGTTGAAGGTTCCTTTTCAAACAGCAGTTTCCAATCACTCTTTCTGTGGAATCTGCAAGTGGATATTTGGGCCTCTCTGAGGATTTCGTTGGAAACGGGATAAAACGCACAGAACTAAAACAGAAGCATTCTCAGAAACTTCTCTGTGATGTTTGTGTTCAACTCCCAGAGTTTCACGTTGCTTTTCATAGAGTAGTTCTGAAACATGCTTTTCGTAGTGTCTGCAAGTGGACATTTGGAGCGCTTTCAGGCCTGTGGTGGAAAACGAATTATGGTCACATAAAAACTGGAGAGAAGCCTTCTCAGAAACTTCTCTGTGATGATTGCATTCAACTCACAGAGTTGAACCCTCCTATGGATAGAGCAGTGTTGAAACTCTCTTTTTGTGGAATCTGCAAGTGGATATGTGGACCTCTCCGAAGATGTCTTTGGAAACGGGAATATCTTCACATAAAAACTAAACAGAAGCATTCTCAGAAACTTCTTGGTGATGTTTGCATTCAAATCCCAGAGTTGAACCTTCCTTTGACAGTTCAGGTTTGAAACACTCTTTTTGTAGGATCTGCAAGTGGATATTTGGACCACTCTGTGGCCTTCGTTCGAAAAGGGTACATCTTCGCATAAAATCTAGACAGAAGCATTCTCAGAAAATACTTTGTGATGATTGAGTTTAAATCACAGAGCTGACCATTCCTTTGGATGGAGCAGGTTTGAGACACACTTTTTGTAGAATCTACAAGTGGATATTTGGACCTCTCTGAGGATTTCGTTGGAAACGGGATAACTGCACCTAACTAAACGGAAGCATTCTCAGAAACTGCTTTGTGATGATTGCATTCACCTCACAGAGTTGAACATTCCTATTGATAGAGCAGTTTGGAAACACTCTTGTTGTGGAATGTGCAAGTGGAGATTTGGAGCGCTTTGAGGCCTGTGGTAGTAAAGGGAATAGCTTCATAGAAAAACTAGACAGATGCATTCTCAGGAACTTTTTGGTGATGTTTGTATTCAACTCCCAGAGTTGAACTTTCCTTTGGAAAGAGCAGCTATGAAACACTCTTTTTCTAGAATCTGCAAGTGGACGTTTGGAGGGCTTTGTGGTTTGTGGTGGAAAAGGAAATATCTTCACCTAAATACTAGATAGAAGCATTCTCAGAAGCTTCTCTGTGATGACTGCATTCAACTCACGGAGTTGAACACTCCTTTTGAGAGCACAGTTTTGAAACTCTCTTTCTGTGGCATCTGCAAGGGGACATGTAGACCTCTTTGAAGATTTCGTTGGAAACGGAATCATCTTCACATAAAAACTATACAGAAGCAGTCTCAGAATCTTCTTTGTGATGTTTGCATTCAAATCCCAGAGTTGAACTTTCCTTTCAAAGTTCACGTTTGAAACACTCTTTTTGCAGGATCTACAAGTGGATATTTGGACCACTCTGTGTCCTTTGTTCGAAACGGGTATATCTTCACATGACATCTAGACAGAAGCTTTCTCAGAAAATTCTTTGGGATGATTGAGTTGAACTCACAGAGCTGAACATTCCTTGCGATGTAGCAGTTTAGAAACACACTTTCTGCAGAATCTGCAAGTGCATATGTGGACCTCTCTGAGGAATTCGTTGGAAACGGGATAATTTCAGCTGACTAAACAGAAGCATTCTCAGAACCTTCTTCGTGATGTCTGCATTCAACTCACAGTGTGGAACCTTTCTTTGATAGTTCAGGTTTGAAACACTCTTTTTGTAGAAACTGCAAGGGGATAATTGCACTTCTTTGAGGCCTACCGTAGTAAAGGAAATAACTTCCTATAGAAAGAAGACAGAAGCATTCTCAGAACCCTCTTCGTGATGTTTGCATTCAACTCACAGTGCTGAAACTTTCTTTGATAGTTCAGCTTTGAAACACTCTTTTTGTAGAAACTGCAAGTGGATACTTGGTCCTCTCTGAGGATTTCGTTGGAAAAGGGATAAACCGCACAGAACTAAACAGAAGCATTCACAGAAAACTCTTGGTGACGACTGAGTTTAACTCACAGAGCTGAACATTCCTTTGGATGGAGCAGTTTCGAAACACACTATTTGTAGAATCTGCAAGTGGATATTTGAGCCTCTCTGAGGATTTCGATGGAAACGGGATAAACCGCACAGAACTAAAACAGAAGCATTCACAGAAAACTCTTGGTGACGACTGAGTTTAACTCACAGAGCTGAACATTCCTTTGGATGGAGCAGTTTCGAAACACACTATTTGTAGAATGTGCAAGTGGATATTTGGGCCTCTCTGAGGATTTCGTTGGAAACGGGATAAACCGCACAGAACTAAACAGAAGCATTCTCAGAAACTACTTTGTGATGATTGCATTCAAGTCACAGAGTTGAACATTCCCTTTGACAGAGCAGTTTGGAAACTCTCTTTGTGTAGAATCTGCAAGTGGAGATATGGACCGCTTTGAGGCCTATGGTAGTAAAGGAAATAGCTTCATATAAAAGCTAGACAGTAAGCATTCTCAGAAACTTCTTTGTGATGCTTGCATTCAACTCACAGAGTTGAACTTTCCTTTCGAGAGAGAAGCTTTGAAACACTCTTTTTCCAGAATGTGCAAGTGGACATTTGGGGAGCTTTGAGGCCTGTGGTGGAAAAGGAATTATCTTCCCGTAAAAGCTAGATAGAAGCATTGTCAGAAACTTCTTTGTGATGATTGCATTCAACTCACAGAGATGAAGGTTCCTTTACAAACAGCAGTTTCCAAACACTCTTTCTGTGGAATCTGCAAGTGGATATTTGGACCTCTTTGAAGATTTCGTTGGAAACGGGAGAATCCTTCACAGAAAAGCTAAACGGAAGCATTCTCAGAAACTTCTCTGTGATGTTTGTGTTCAACTCCCAGAGTTTCACATTGCTTTTCATAGAGTAGTTCTGAAACATGCTTTTCGTAGTGTCTGCAAGTGGACATTTGGAGCGCTTTCAGGCCTGTGGTGGAAAACGAATTATGGTCCCATAAAAACTGGAGAGAAGCCTTCTCAGAAACTTCTCTGTGATGATTGCATTCAACTCACATAGTTGAACCCTCCTATGGATAGAGCAGTGTTGAAACTCTCTTTTTGTGGAATCTGCAAGTGGATATGTGGACCTCTCCGAAGATGTCTTTGGAAACGGGAATATCTTCACATAAAAACTAAACAGAAGCATTCTCAGAAACTTCTTGGTGATGTTTGCATTCAAATCCCAGAGTTGAACCTTCCTTTGATAGTTCAGGTTTGAAACACTCTTTTTGTAGGATCTGCAAGTGGATATTTGGACCACTCTGTGGCCTTCGTTCGAAACGGGTATATCTTCGCATAAAATCTAGACAGAAGCATTCTCAGAAAATACTTTGTGATGATTGAGTTTAACTCACAGAGCTGAACATTCCTTTGGATGGAGCAGGTTTGAGACACACTTTTTGTAGAATCTACAAGTGGATATTTGGACCTCTCTGAGGATTTCGTTGGAAACGCGATAACTGCACCTAACTAAACGGAAGCATTCTCAGAAACTGCTTTGTGATGATTGCATTCACCTCACAGAGTTGAACATTCCTATTGATAGAGCAGTTTGGAAACACTCTTGTTGTGGAATGTGCAAGTGGAGATTTGGAGCGCTTTGAGGCCTGTGGTAGTAAAGGGAATAGCTTCATAGAAAAACTAGACAGATGCATTCTCAGGAACTTTTTGGTGATGTTTGTATTCAACTCCCAGAGTTGAACTTTCCTTTGGAAAGAGCAGCTATGAAACACTCTTTTTCTAGAATCTGCAAGTGGACGTTTGGAGGGCTTTGTGGTTTGTGGTGGAAAAGGAAATATCTTCACCTAAATACTAGAGAGAAGCATTCTCAGAATCTTCTCTCCGATGACTGCATTCTACTCACGGAATTGAACACTCCTTTGGAGAGCGCAGTTTTGAAACTCTCTTTCTGTGGCATCCGCAAGGGGACATGTGGACCTCTTTGAAGATTTCGTTGGAAACGGAATCATCTTCACATAAAAACTATACAGAAGCAGTCTCAGAATCTTCTTTGTGATGTTTGCATTCAAATCCCAGAGTTGAACTTTCCTTTCAAAGTTCACGTTTGAAACACTCTTTTTGCAGGATCTACAAGTGGATATTTGGACCACTCTGTGTCCTTCGTTCGAAACGGGTATATCTTCACATGACATCTAGACAGAAGCTTTCTCAGAAAATTCTTTGGGATGATTGAGTGGAACTCACAGAGCTGAACATTCCTTGCGATGTAGCAGTTTAGAAACACACTTTCTGCAGAATCTGCAAGTGCATATTTGGACCTCTCTGAGGAATTCGTTGGAAACGGGATAATTTCAGCTGACTAAACAGAAGCATTCTCAGAACCTTCTTCGTGATGTCTGCATTCAACTCACAGTGTGGAACCTTTCTTTGATAGTTCAGGTTTGAAACACTCTTTTTGTAGAAACTGCAAGGGGATAATTGCACTTCTTTGAGGCCTACCGTAGTAAAGGAAATAACTTCCTATAGAAAGAAGACAGAAGCATTCTCAGAACCCTCTTCGTGATGTTTGCATTCAACTCACAGTGCTGAACCTTTCTTTGATAGTTCAGCTTTGAAACACTCTTCTTGTAGAAACTGCAAGTGGATATTTGGTCCTCTCTGAGGATTTCGTTGGAAACGGGATAAACCGCACAGAACTAAACAGAAGAATTCTCAGAGCCCTCTTCGTGATGTTTGCATTCAACTCACAGTGCTGAACCTTTCTTTGATAGTGCAGCTTTGAAACACTCTTTTTGTAGAAACTGCAAGTGGATATTTGGTCCTCTCTGAGGATTTCGTTGGAAACGGGATAAACCGCACAGAACTAAAACAGAAGCATTGTCAGAAACTTCTTTGTGATGATTGCATTCAACTCACAGAGTTGAAGGTTCCTTTTCAAACAGCAGTTTCCAATCACTCTTTCTGTGGAATCTGCAAGTGGATATTTGGGCCTCTCTGAGGATTTCGTTGGAAACGGGATAAAACCCACAGAACTAAAACAGAAGCATTCTCAGAAACTTCTCTGTGATGTTTGTGTTCAACTCCCAGAGTTTCACGTTGCTTTTCATAGAGTAGTTCTGAAACATGCTTTTCGTAGTGTCTGCAAGTGGACATTTGGAGCGCTTTCAGGCCTGTGGTGGAAAACGAATTATGGTCACATAAAAACTGGAGAGAAGCCTTCTCAGAAACTTCTCTGTGATGATTGCATTCAACTCACAGAGTTGAACCCTCCTATGGATAGAGCAGTGTTGAAACTCTCTTTTTGTGGAATCTGCAAGTGGATATGTGGACCTCTCCGAAGATGTCTTTGGAAACGGGAATATCTTCACATAAAAACTAAACAGAAGCATTCTCAGAAACTTCTTGGTGATGTTTGCATTCAAATCCCAGAGTTGAACCTTCCTTTGAGAGTTCAGGTTTGAAACACTCTTTTTGTAGGATCTGCAAGTGGATATTTGGACCACTCTGTGGCCTTCGTTCGAAACGGGTACATCTTCGCATAAAATCTAGACAGAAGCATTCTCAGAAAATACTTTGTGATGATTGAGTTTAAATCACAGAGCTGACCATTCCTTTGGATGGAGCAGGTTTGAGACACACTTTTTGTAGAATCTACAAGTGGATATTTGGACCTCTCTGAGGATTTCGTTGGAAACGGGATAACTGCACCTAACTAAACGGAAGCATTCTCAGAAACTGCTTTGTGATGATTGCATTCACCTCACAGAGTTGAACATTCCTATTGATAGAGCAGTTTGGAAACACTCTTGTTGTGGAATGTGCAAGTGGAGATTTGGAGCGCTTTGAGGCCTATGGTAGTAAAGGGAATAGCTTCATAGAAAAACTAGACAGATGCATTCTCAGGAACTTTTTGGTGATGTTTGTATTCAACTCCCAGAGTTGAACTTTCCTTTGGAAAGAGCAGCTATGAAACACTCTTTTTCTAGAATCTGCAAGTGGACGTTTGGAGGGCTTTGTGGTTTGTGGTGGAAAAGGAAATATCTTCACCTAAATACTAGATAGAAGCATTCTCAGAAGCTTCTCTGTGATGACTGCATTCAACTCACGGAGTTGAACACTCCTTTTGAGAGCGCAGTTTTGAAACTCTCTTTCTGTGGCATCTGCAAGGGGATATGTAGACCTCTTTGAAGATTTCGTTGGAAACGGAATCATCTTCACATAAAAACTATACAGAAGCAGTCTCAGAATCTTCTTTGTGATGTTTGCATTCAAATCCCAGAGTTGAACTTTCCTTTCAAAGTTCACGTTTGAAACACTCTTTTTGCAGGATCTACAAGTGGATATTTGGACCAATCTGTGTCCTTCGTTCGAAACGGGTATATCTTCACATGACACCTAGACAGAAGCTTTCTCAGAAAATTCTTTGGGATGATTGAGTTGAACTCACAGAGCTGAGTATTCCTTGCGATGTAGCAGTTTAGAAACACACTTTCTGCAGAATCTGCAAGTGCATATTTGGACCTCTCTGAGGAATTCGTTGGAAACGGGATAATTTCAGCTAACTAAACAGAAGCATTCTCAGAACCTTCTTCGTGATGTCTGCATTCAACTCACAGTGTGGAACCTTTCTTTGATAGTTCAGGTTTGAAACACTCTTTCTGTAGAAACTGCAAGGGGATAATTGCACTCTTTGAGGAGTACCGTAGTAAAGGAAATAACTTCCTATAAAAAGAAGACAGAAGCATTCTCAGAACCCTCTTCGTGATGTTTGCATTCAACTCACAGTGCTGAACCTTTCTTTGATAGTTCAGCTTTGAAACACTCTTTTTGTAGAAACTGCAAGTGGATATTTGGTCCTCTCTGAGCATTTCGTTGGAAACGGGATAAACTGCACAGAACTAAACAGAAGCATTCTCAGAACCTTCTTCGTGATGTTTGCATTCAACTCACAGTGTTGAACCTTTCTTTGATAGTTCAGGTTTGAAACGGTCTTTCTGTAGAAACTGCAAGTAGATATTTGGACCTCTCTGAGGATTTCGTTGGAAACGGGATAACCCGCACAGAACTAAAACAGAAGCATTCACAGAAAACTCTTGGTGACGACTGAGTTTAACTCACAGAGCTGAACATTCCTTTGGATGGAGCAGTTTCGAAACACACTATTTGTAGAATGTGCAAGTGGATATGTGGGCCGCTCTGAGGATTTCGTTGGAAACGGGATAAACCGCACAGAACTAAACAGAACCATTCTCAGAAACTACTTTGTGATGATTGCATTCAAGTCACAGAGTTGAACATTCCCTTTGACAGAGCAGTTTGGAAACTCTCTTTGTGTAGAATCTGCAAGTGGAGATATGGACCGCTTTGAGGCCTATGGTAGTAAAGGAAATAGCTTCATATAAAAGCTAGACAGTAGCATTCTCAGAAACTTCTTTGTGATGCTTGCATTCAACTCACAGAGTTGAACTTTCCTTTCGAGAGAGAAGCTTTGAAACACTCTTTTTCCAGAATCTGCAAGTGGACATTTGGAGGGCTTTGAGGCCTGTGGTGGAAAAGGAATTATCTTCCCGTAAAAGCTAGATAGAAGCATTGTCAGAAACTTCTTTGCGATGATTGCATTCAACTCACAGAGATGAAGGTTCCTTTACAAACAGCAGTTTCCAAACACTCTTTCTGTGGAATCTGCAAGTGGATATTTGGACCTCTTTGAAGATTTCGTTGGAAACGGGAGAATCTTCACAGAAAATCTAAACAGAAGCATTCTCAGAAACTTCTCTGTGATGTTTGTGTTCAACTCCCAGAGTTTCACATTGCTTTTCATAGAGTAGTTCTGAAACATGCTTTTCGTAGTGTCTGCAAGTGGACATTTGGAGCGCTTTCAGGCCTGTGGTGGAAAACGAATTATGGTCCCATAAAAACTGGAGAGAAGCCTTCTCAGAAACTTCTCTGTGATGATTGCATTCAACTCACAGATTTGAACCCTCCTATGGATAGAGCATTGTTGAAACTCTCTTTTTGTGGAATCTGCAAGTGGATATGTGGACCTCTCCGAAGATGTCTTTGGAAACGGGAATATCTTCACATAAAAACTAAACAGAAGCATTCTCAGAAACTTCTTGGTGATGTTTGCATTCAAATCCCAGAGTTGAACCTTCCTGTGATAGTTCAGGTTTGAAACACTCTTTTTGTAGGATCTGCAAGTGGATATTTGGACCACTCTGTGGCCTTCGTTCGAAACGGGTACATCTTCACATAAAATCTAGACAGAAGCATTCTCAGAAAATACTTTGTGATGATTGAGTTTAAATCACAGAGCTGACCATTCCTTTGGATGGAGCAGGTTTGAGACACACTTTTTGTAGAATCTACAAGTGGATATTTGGACCTCTCTGAGGATTTCGTTGGAAACGGGATAACTGCACCTAACTAAACGGAAGCATTCTCAGAAACTGCTTTGTGATGATTGCATTCACCTCACAGAGTTGAACATTCCTATTGATAGAGCAGTTTGGAAACACTCTTGTTGTGGAATGTGCAAGTGGAGATTTGGAGCGCTTTGAGGCCTATGGTAGTAAAGGGAATAGCTTCATAGAAAAACTAGACAGATGCATTCTCAGGAACTTTTTGGTGATGTTTGTATTCAACTCCCAGAGTTGAACTTTCCTTTGGAAAGAGCAGCTATGAAACACTCTTTTTCTAGAATCTGCAAGTGGACGTTTGGAGGGCTTTGTGGTTTGTGGTGGAAAAGGAAATATCTTCACCTAAATACTAGATAGAAGCATTCTCAGAAGCTTCTCTGTGATGACTGCATTCAACTCACGGAGTTGAACACTCCTTTTGAGAGCGCAGTTTTGAAACTCTCTTTCTGTGGCATCCGCAAGGGGACATGTGGACCTCTTTGAAGATTTCGTTGGAAACGGAATCATCTTCATATCAAAACTATACAGAAGCAGTCTCAGAATCTTCTTTGTGATGTTTGCATTCAAATCCCAGAGTTGAACTTTCCTTTCAAAGTTCACGTTTGAAACACTCTTTTTGCAGGATCTACAAGTGGATATTTGGACCACTCTGTGTCCTCCGTTCGAAACGGGTATATCTTCACATGACATCTAGACAGAAGCTTTCTCAGAAAATTCTTTGGGATGATTGAGTGGAACTCACAGAGCTGAACATTCCTTGAGATGTAGCAGTTTAGAAACACACTTTCTGCAGAATCTGCAAGTGCATATGTGGACCTCTCTGAGGAATTCGTTGGAAACGGGATAATTTCAGCTGACTAAACAGAAGCATTCTCAGAACCTTCTTCGTGATGTCTGCATTCAACTCACAGTGTGGAACCTTTCTTTGATAGTTCAGGTTTGAAACACTCTTTTTGTAGAAACTGCAAGGGGATAATTGCACTTCTTTGAGGCCTACCGTAGTAAAGGAAATAACTTCCTATAGAAAGAAGACAGAAGCATTCTCAGAACCCTCTTCGTGATGTTTGCATTCAACTCACAGTGCTGAACCTTTCTTTGATAGTTCAGCTTTGAAACACTCTTCTTGTAGAAACTGCAAGTGGATATTTGGTCCTCTCTGAGGATTTCGTTGGAAACGGGATAAACCGCACAGAACTAAACAGAACAATTCTCAGAGCCCTCTTCGTGATGTTTGCATTCAACTCACAGTGCTGAACCTTTCTTTGATAGTGCAGCTTTGAAACACTCTTTTTGTAGAAACTGCTAGTGGATATTTGGTCCACTCTGAGGATTTCGTTGGAAACGGGATAAGCCGCACAGAACTAAAACAGAAGCATTGTCAGAAACTTCTTTGTGATGATTGCATTCAACTCACAGAGTTGAAGGTTCCTTTTCAAACAGCAGTTTCCAATCACTCTTTCTGTGGAATCTGCAAGTGGATATTTGGGCCTCTCTGAGGATTTCGTTGGAAACGGGATAAAACGCACAGAACTAAAACAGAAGCATTCTCAGAAACTTCTCTGTGATGTTTGTGTTCAACTCCCAGAGTTTCACATTGCTTTTCATAGAGTAGTTCTGAAACATGCTTTTTGTAGTGTCTGCAAGTGGACATTTGGAGCGCTTTCAGGCCTGTGGTGGAAAACGAATTATGGTCCCATAAAAACTGGAGAGAAGCCTTCTCAGAAACTTCTCTGTGATGATTGCATTCAACTCACAGAGTTGAACCCTCCTATGGATAGAGCAGTGTTGAAACTCTCTTTTTGTGGAATCTGCAAGTGGATATGTGGACCTCTCCGAAGATGTCTTTGGAAACGGGAATATCTTCACATAAAAACTAAACAGAAGCATTCTCAGAAACTTCTTGGTGATGTTTGCATTCAAATCCCAGAGTTGAACCTTCCTTTGATAGTTCAGGTTTGAAACACTCTTTCTGTAGGATCTGCAAGTGGCTATTTGGACCACTCTGTGGCCTTCGTTCGAAACGGGTATATCTTCGCATAAAATCTAGACAGAAGCATTCTCAGAAAATACTTTGTGATGATTGAGTTTAAATGACAGAGCTGACCATTCCTTTGGATGGAGCAGGTTTGAGACACACTTTTTGTAGAATCTACAAGTGGATATTTGGACCTCTCTGAGGATTTCGTTGGAAACGGGATAACTGCACCTAACTAAACGGAAGCATTCTCAGAAACTGCTTTGTGATGATTGCATTCACCTCACAGAGTTGAACATTCCTATTGATAGAGCAGTTTGGAAACACTCTTGTTGTGGAATGTGCAAGTGGAGATTTGGAGCGCTTTGAGGCCTATGGTAGTAAAGGGAATAGCTTCATAGAAAAACTAGACAGATGCATTCTCAGGAACTTTTTGGTGATGTTTGTATTCAACTCCCAGAGTTGAACTTTCCTTTGGAAAGAGCAGCTATGAAACACTCTTTTTCTAGAATCTGCAAGTGGACGTTTGGAGGGCTTTGTGGTTTGTGGTGGAAAAGGAAATATCTTCACCTAAATACTAGATAGAAGCATTCTCAGAAGCTTCTCTGTGATGACTGCATTCAACTCACGGAGTTGAACACTCCTTTTGAGAGCGCAGTTTTGAAACTCTCTTTCTGTGGCATCTGCAAGGGGACATGCAGACCTCTTTGAAGATTTCGTTGGAAACGGAATCATCTTCACATAAAAACTATACAGAAGCAGTCTCAGAATCTTCTTTGTGATGTTTGCATTCAAATCCCAGAGTTGAACTTTCCTTTCAAAGTTCACGTTTGAAACACTCTTTTTGCAGGATCTACAAGTGGATATTTGGACCACTCTGTGTCCTTCGTTCGAAACGGGTATATCTTCACAGGACATCTAGACAGAAGCTTTCTCAGAAAATTCTTTGGGATGATTGAGTGGAACTCACAGAGCTGAACATTCCTTGCGATGTAGCAGTTTAGAAACACACTTTCTGCAGAATCTGCAAGTGCATATTTGGACCTCTCTGAGGAATTCGTTGGAAACGGGATAATTTCAGCTGACTAAACAGAAGCATTCTCAGACACCCTTCTTCGTGATGTCTGCATTCAACTCACAGTGTGGAACCTTTCTTTGATAGTTCAGGTTTGAAACACTCTTTTTGTAGAAACTGCAAGGGGATAATTGCACTTCTTTGAGGCCTACCGTAGTAAAGGAAATAACTTCCTATAGAAAGAAGACAGAAGCATTCTCAGAACCCTCTTCGTGATGTTTGCATTCAACTCACAGTGCTGAACCTTTCTTTGATAGTTCAGCTTTGAAACACTCTTCTTGTAGAAACTGCAAGTGGATATTTGGTCCTCTCTGAGGATTTCGTTGGAAACGGGATAAACCGCACAGAACTAAACAGAAGAATTCTCAGAGCCCTCTTCGTGATGTTTGCATTCAACTCACAGTGCTGAACCTTTCTTTGATAGTGCAGCTTTGAAACACTCTTTTTGTAGAAACTGCAAGTGGATGTTTGGTCCTCTCTGAGGATTTCGTTGGAAACGGGATAAACCGCACAGAACTAAAACAGAAGCATTGTCAGAAACTTCTTTGTGATGATTGCATTCAACTCACAGAGTTGAAGGTTCCTTTTCAAACAGCAGTTTCCAATCACTCTTTCTGTGGAATCTGCAAGTGGATATTTGGGCCTCTCTGAGGATTTCGTTGGAAACGGGATAAAACGCACAGAACTAAAACAGAAGCATTCTGAGAAACTTCTCTGTGATGTTTGTGTTCAACTCCCAGAGTGTCACATTGCTTCTCATAGAGTAGTTCTGAAACATGCTTTTCGTAGTGTCTGCAAGGGGACATTTGGAGCGCTTTCAGGCCTGTGGTGGAAAACGAATTATGGTCACATAAAAACTGGACAGAAGCCTTCTCAGAAACTTCTCTGTGATGATTGCATTCAACTCACAGAGTTGAACCCTCCTATGGATAGAGCAGTGTTGAAACTCTCTTTTTGTGGAATCTGCAAGTGGATATGTGGACCTCTCCGAAGATGTCTTTGGAAACGGGACTATCTTCACATAAAAACTAAACAGAAGCATTCTCAGAAACTTCTTGGTGATGTTTGCATTCAAATCCCAGAGTTGAACCTTCCTTTGATAGTTCAGGTTTGAAACACTCTTTTTGTAGGATCTGCAAGTGGATATTTGGACCACTCTGTGGCCTTCGTTCGAAACGGGTACATCTTCGCATAAAATCTAGACAGAAGCATTCTCAGAAAATACTTTGTGATGATTGTGTTGAACTCACAGAGCTGAACATTCCTTTGGATGGAGCAGGTTTGAGACACACTTTTTGTAGAATCTACAAGTGGATATTTGGACCTCTCTGAGGATTTCGTTGGAAACGGGATAACTGCACCTAACTAAACGGAAGCATTCTCAGAAACTGCTTTGTGATGATTGCATTCACCTCACAGAGTTGAACATTCCTATTGATAGAGCAGTTTGGAAACACTCTTGTTGTGGAATGTGCAAGTGGAGATATGGAGCGCTTTGAGGCCTATGGTAGTAAAGGGAATAGCTTCATAGAAAAACTACACAGATGCATTCTCAGGAACTTTTTGGTGATGTTTGTATTCAACTCCCAGAGTTGAACTTTCCTTTGGAAAGAGCAGCTATGAAACACTCTTTTTCTAGAATCTGCAAGTGGACGTTTGGAGGGCTTTGTGGTTTGTGGTGGAAAAGGAAATATCTTCACCTAAATACTAGATAGAAGCATTCTCAGAAGCTTCTCTGTGATGACTGCATTCAACTCACGGAGTTGAACACTCCTTTTGAGAGCGCAGTTTTGAAACTCTCTTTCTGTGGCATCTGCAAGGGGACATGTAGACCTCTTTGAAGATTTCGTTGGAAACAGAATCATCTTCACATAAAAACTATACAGAAGCAGTCTCAGAATCTTCTTTGTGATGTTTGCATTCAAATCCCAGAGTTGAACTTTCCTTTCAAAGTTCACGTTTGAAACTCTCTTTTTGCAGGATCTATAAGTGGATATTTGGACCACTCTGTGTATTTCGTTCGAAACGGGTATATCTTCACATGACATCTAGACAGAAGCTTTCTAAGAAAATTCTTTGGGATGATTGAGTGGAACTCACAGAGCTGAACATTCCTTGCGATGTAGCAGTTTAGAAACACACTTTCTGCAGAATCTGCAAGTGCATATGTGGACCTCTCTGAGGAATTCGTTGGAAACGGGATAATTTCAGCTGACTAAACAGAAGCATTCTCAGAACCTTCTTCGTGATGTCTGCATTCATCTCACAGTGTGGAACCTTTCTTTGATAGTTCAGGTTTGAAACACTCTTTTTGTAGAAACTGCAAGGGGATAATTGCACTTCTTTGAGGCCTACCGTAGTAAAGGAAATAACTTCCTATAGAAAGAAGAAAGAAGCATTCTCAGAACCCTCTTCGTGATGTTTGCATTCAACTCACAGTGCTGAACCTTTCTTTGATAGTTCAGCTTTGAAACACTCTTCTTGTAGAAACTGCAAGTGGATATTTGGTCCTCTCTGAGGATTTCGTTGGAAACGGGATAAACCGCACAGAACTAAACAGAAGAATTCTCAGAGCCCTCTTCGTGATGTTTGCATTCAACTCACAGTGCTGAACCTTTCTTTGATAGTGCAGCTTTGAAACACTCTTTTTGTAGAAACTGCAAGTGGATATTTGGTCCTCTCTGAGGATTTCGTTGGAAACGGGATAAACCGCACAGAACTAAAACAGAAGCATTCACAGAAAACTCTTGGTGACGACTGAGTTTAACTCACAGAGCTGAACATTCCTTTGGATGGAGCAGTTTCGAAACACACTATTTGTAGAATCTGCAAGTGGATATTTGGGCCTCTCTGAAGATTTCGTTGGAATCGGGATAAACCGCACAGAACTAAAACAGAAGCATTCTGAGAAACTACTTTGTGATGATTGCATTCAAGTCACAGAGCTGAACATTCCCTTTGACAGAGCAGTTTGGAAACTCTCTTTGTGTAGAATCTGCAAGTGGAGATATGGAATGCTTTGAGGACTATGGTATTAAAGGAAATAGCTTCATAGACAAGCTAGACAGTAGCATTCTCAGAAACTTCTTTGTGATGCTTGCATTCAACTCACAGAGTTGAACTTTCCTTTCGAGAGAGAAGCTTTGAAACACTCTTTTTCCAGAATCTGCAAGTGGACATTTGGAGGGCTTTGAGGCCTGTGGTGGAAAAGGAATTATCTTCCCGTAAAAGCTGGATAGAAGCATTGTCAGAAACTTCTTTGTGATGATTGCATTCAACTCACAGAGTTGAAGGTTCCTTTTCAAACAGCAGTTTCCAATCACTCTTTCTGTGGAATCTGCAAGTGGATATTTCGACCTCTTTGAAGATTTCGTTGGAAACGGGAGAATCTTCACAGAAAAGCTAAACAGAAGCATTCTCAGAAACTTCTCTGTGATGTTTGTGTTCAACTCCCAGAATTTCACATTGCTTTTCATAGAGTAGTTCTGAAACATGCTTTTCGTAGTGTCTGCAAGTGGACATTTGGAGCGCTTTCAGGCCTGTGGTGGAAAACGAATTATGGTCACAGAAAAACTGGAGAGAAGCCTTCTCAGAAACTTCTCTGTGATGATTGCATTCAACTCACAGAGTTGAACCCTCCTATGGATAGAGCAGTGTTGAAACTCTCTTTTTGTGGAATCTGCAAGTGGATATGTGGACCTCTCCGAAGATGTCTTTGGAAACGGGAATATCTTCACATAAAAACTAAACAGAAGCATTCTCAGAAACTTCTTGGTGATGTTTGCATTCAAATCCCAGAGTTGAACCTTCCTTTGATAGTTCAGGTTTGAAACACTCTTTCTGTAGGATCTGCAAGTGGCTATTTGGACCACTCTGTGGCCTTCGTTCGAAACGGGTATATCTTCGCATAAAATCTAGACAGAAGCATTCTCAGAAAATACTTTGTGATGATTGAGTTTAAATCACAGAGCTGACCATTCCTTTGGATGGAGCAGGTTTGAGACACACTTTTTGTAGAATCTACAAGTGGATATTTGGACCTCTCTGAGGATTTCGTTGGAAACGGGATAACTGCACCTAACTAAACGGAAGCATTCTCAGAAACTGCTTTGTGATGATTGCATTCACCTCACAGAGTTGAACATTCCTATTGATAGAGCAGTTTGGAAACACTCTTGTTGTGGAATGTGCAAGTGGAGATTTGGAGCGCTTTGAGGCCTATGGTAGTAAAGGGAATAGCTTCATAGAAAAACTAGACAGATGCATTCTCAGGAACTTTTTGGTGATGTTTGTATTCAACTCCCAGAGTTGAACTTTCCTTTGGAAAGAGCAGCTATGAAACACTCTTTTTCTAGAATCTGCAAGTGGACGTTTGGAGGGCTTTGTGGTTTGTGGTGGAAAAGGAAATATCTTCACCTAAATACTAGATAGAAGCATTCTCAGAAGCTTCTCTGTGATGACTGCATTCAACTCACGGAGTTGAACACTCCTTTTGAGAGCGCAGTTTTGAAACTCTCTTTCTGTGGCATCCGCAAGGGGACATGTGGACCTCTTTGAAGATTTCGTTGGAAACGGAATCATCTTCACATCAAAACTATACAGAAGCAGTCTCAGAATCTTCTTTGTGATGTTTGCATTCAAATCCCAGAGTTGAACTTTCCTTTCAAAGTTCACGTTTGAAACACTCTTTTTGCAGGATCTACAAGTGGATATTTGGACCACTCTGTGTCCTTCGTTCGAAACGGGTATATCTTCACACGACATCTAGACAGAAGCTTTCTCAGAAAATTCTTTGGGATGATTGAGTGGAACTCACAGAGCTGAACATTCCTTGCGATGTAGCAGTTTAGAAACACACTTTCTGCAGAATCTGCAAGTGCATATTTGGACCTCTCTGAGGAATTCGTTGGAAACGGGATAATTTCAGCTGACTAAACAGAAGCATTCTCAGAACCTTCTTCGTGATGTCTGCATTCAACTCACAGTGTGGAACCTTTCTTTGATAGTTCAGGTTTGAAACACTCTTTTTGTAGAAACTGCAAGGGGATAATTGCACTTCTTTGAGGCCTACCGTAGTAAAGGAAATAACTTCCTATAGAAAGAAGACAGAAGCATTCTCAGAACCCTCTTCGTGATGTTTGCATTCAACTCACAGTGCTGAACCTTTCTTTGATAGTTCAGCTTTGAAACACTCTTCTTGTAGAAACTGCAAGTGGATATTTGGTCCTCTCTGAGGATTTCGTTGGAAACGGGATAAACCGCACAGAACTAAACAGAAGATTTCTCAGAGCCCTCTTCGTGATGTTTGCATTCAACTCACAGTGCTGAACCTTTCTTTGATAGTGCAGCTTTGAAACACTCTTTTTGTAGAAACTGCAAGTGGATATTTGGTCCTCTCTGAGCATTTCGTTGGAAACGGGATAAACCGCACAGAACTAAACAGAAGCATTCACAGAAAACTCTTGGTGACGACTGAGTTTAACTCACAGAGCTGAACATTCCTTTGGATGGAGCAGTTTCGAAACACACTATTTGTAGAATCTGCAAGTGGATATTTGGGCCTCTCTGAGGATTTCGTTGGAAACGGGATAAAACGCACAGAACTAAAACAGAATCATTCTCAGAAACTACTTTGTGATGATTGCATTCAAGTCACAGAGTTGAACATTCCCTTTGACAGAGCAGTTTGGAAACTCTCTTTGTGCAGAATCTGCAAGTGGAGATATGGACCGCTTTGAGGCCTATGGTAGTAAAGGAAATAGCTTCATATAAAAGCTAGACAGTAGCATTCTCAGAAACTTCTTTGTGATGCTTGCATTCAACTCACAGAGTTGAACTTTCCTTTCGAGAGAGAAGCTTTGAAACACTCTTTTTCCAGAATCTGCAAGTGGACATTTGGAGGGCTTTGAGGCCTGTGGTGGAAACGAATTATCTTCCCGTAAAAGCTAGATAGAAGCCTTCTCAGAAACTTCTCTGTGATGATTGCATTCAACTCACAGAGTTGAAGGTTCCTTTTCAAAGAGCAGTTTCCAATCACTCTTTCTGTGGAATCTGCAAGTGGATATTTGGACCTATTTTGAAGATTTCGTTGGAAACGGGAGAATCTTCACAGGAAAGCTAAACAGAAGCATTCTCAGAAACTTCTCTGTGATGTTTGTGTTCAACTCCCAGAGTTTCACATTGCTTTTCATAGAGTAGTTCTGAAACATGCTTTTCGTAGTGTCTGCAAGTGGACATTTGGAGCGCTTTCAGGCCTGTGGTGGAAAACGAATTATGGTCACATAAAAACTGGAGAGAAGCCTTCTCAGAAACTTCTCTGTGATGATTGCATTCAACTCACAGAGTTGAACCCTCCTATGGATAGAGCAGTGTTGAAACTCTCTTTTTGTGGAATCTGCAAGTGGATATGTGGACCTCTCCGAAGATGTCTTTGGAAACGGGAATATCTTCACATAAAAACTAAACAGAAGCATTCTCAGAAACTTCTTGGTGATGTTTGCATTCAAATCCCAGAGTTGAACCTTCCTTTGATAGTTCAGGTTTGAAACACTCTTTTTGTAGGATCTGCAAGTGGCTATTTGGACCACTCTGTGGCCTTCGTTCGAAACGGGTATATCTTCGCATAAAATCTAGACAGAAGCATTCTCAGAAAATACTTTGTGATGATTGAGTTGAACTCACAGAGCTGAACATTCCTTTGGATGGAGCAGGTTTGAGACACACTTTTTGTAGAATCTACAAGTGGATATTTGGACCTCTCTGAGGATTTCGTTGGAAACGCGATAACTGCACCTAACTAAACGGAAGCCTTCTCAGAAACTGCTTTGTGATGATTGCATTCACTTCACAGAGTTGAACATTCCTATTGATAGAGCAGTTTGGAAACACTCTTGTTGTGGAATGTGCAAGTGGAGATTTGGAGCGCTTTGAGGCCTATGGTAGTAAAGGGAATAGCTTCATAGAAAAACTAGACAGATGCATTCTCAGGAACTTTTTGGTGATGTTTGTATTCAACTCCCAGAGTTGAACTTTCCTTTGGAAAGAGCAGCTATGAAACACTCTTTTTCTAGAATCTGCAAGTGGACGTTTGGAGGGCTTTGTGGTTTGTGGTGGAAAAGGAAATATCTTCACCTAAATACTAGATAGAAGCATTCTCAGAAGCTTCTCTGTGATGACTGCATTCAACTCACGGAGTTGAACACTCCTTTTGAGAGCGCAGTTTTGAAACTCTCTTTCTGTGGCA